>NC_000004.12:98012290-98315320 GCF_000001405.40 Homo sapiens
TCTGTTCCATTAGTCTATATGTCTGTTTTGGTACCAGTACCATGGTGTTTTGGTTTCTGTAGCCTTGCAGTATAGTGTGAAGTCAAGTAGCATGATGCCTCCAGCTTTGTTCTTTTTGCTTAGGATTGTCTTGGCTATACCAGCTCTTTTTTAGATCCACATGGAGTTTAAAGTAGTTTTTTCTAAATCTGTGAAGAATGTCAATGGTAGCTTGATGGGGATAGCACTGAATCTATAAATTACTTTGGGCAGTATGGCCATTTTCATGATATTGATTCTTCCTATCCATGAGGATGGGATGTTTTTCCATTTGTTTGTGTCCTCTCTTATTTCCTTGAGTGATGGTTTGTAGTTCTCATTAAAGAGGTCCCTCACATCCCTTGTTAACTGTATTCCTAGGTATTTTATTCTCTTTGTAGCAATTGTGAATGGGAGTTCATTCATGATTTGGCTCTCTGCCTATCTATTGTTGGTGTATAGAAATGCTTGTGATTTTTGCACACTGATTTTGTATCCTGAGACTTTGCTGAGGTTGCTTATCAGCTTAAGGAGTTTTGGGGTTGAGATGATAGGGTTTTCTAAATATACAAGCATGTCATCTTCAAAAAGAGACAATTTGACTTTCTCTCTTCCTATCTGAATACTCTTTAATTCTTTCTCTTGCCTGATGGCCCTGGCCAGAACTTCCAATACCACATTGAATAGGAGTGATGTGAGAGGGCATTTTTGTCTCATGCTGGTTTTTAAAGGGAATGCCTCCAACTTTTGCCCATTCAGTATGATACTGGCTGTTGGTTTGTTATAAATGGCTCTTATCATTTTGAGATATGTTCCATCAATACCTAGTTTATTGAGAGTTTTTAACATGAAGGGATATTGGATTTTATTGAATGTCTTTTCTGCATCTATTGAGATAATCGTGTGGTTTTTGTCATTGCTTCTGTTTATGTGATGGATTACATTTATTCATTTGCATATGTTAAAGCAGCCTTGCATCCCAGGGATGGAACCTACTTGTGGTGGATAAGCTTTTTGATGTGCTGCTGGATTCAGTTTGCCAGCATTTTATTGAGGGTTTTCGCATGAATGTTCTTCAAGGACATTGGCCTGAAGTTTTCTTTTTTGTTGTGTCTCCACCAGGTTTTGGTATCAGGGTGATGCTAGCCTCATAAAACAAGTTAGGGAGGAGTCCCTCCTTTTCAACTGTTTGGAATAGTTTCAGAAGGAATAGTACCAGCTCCTCTTTGTACCTCTGGTAGAATTCGGCTGTGAATCCATCTGGTCCTGGGCTTTTTTTTTTTTTTTTTTTTTTTTTTTTTGGTTAGTAGGCTATTAATTACTGCCTCAATTTCAGAACTTGTTATTGGTCTATTCAGGGATATGATTTCTTCATTGTTTAGTCTTGGGAGGGTATATGTGTCCAGGAATTTATCCATTTTTTCTAGATTTTCTAGTTTATTTGCACAGAGGTATTTATAGTATTCTCTGATGATTGTTTGTATTTCTGTGGGGTCAGTGGTGATATCCCCTTTATTATTTTTATTGTGTCTATTTCATTCTTCTCTCTTTTCTTCTTTATTAATGTAGCTAGTGGTCTATCTATTTTGTTAATTTTTTCAAAACAAACAGCTCCTGGATTCACTGATTTTTTTGAAGAGTTTTTCATGTCTCTATCTCTTTCAGTTCTGCTCTGATCTTAGTTATTTCTTGTCTTCTGCTAGCTTTTGGATTTGTTTGCTCTTGCTTCTCTAGGTGCTTTAGTTGTGATGTGAGGGTGTCGATTTGAGATCCTTCTATCTTTCCCTTGTGGGCATTTAGTGCTATAAATTTCCCTCTTAATACTGCTTTAGCTGTGTCCCAGAGATTCTGGTACATTGTCTCTTTGTTCTCATTAGTTTCAAAGAACTTCTTGATTTCTGCCTTAACTTCATTATTTACCCATGAGTCATTCAGGAGCAGGTTGTTCAATTTCCATGTAGTTGTGTGGTTCTGAGTGAGTTTCTTAATCCTGAGTTCTAATTTGACTACACTGTGGTCTGAGAGACTATTATTATCAGTCCTGAGTCAGTGGCTCTCAGGTGGGCTGCGGCAACACACTGCTCTTCCTTCCTCTTCATGGGTCATGCCAGCTGCCTAGTCAGTCCTGATGACAGAACCTGGATACCTCGGTTGCCAGTGCAAAATTCACCTGCTGTTTTGGTTTTTTTGGATGGGAGCCTCCCATCACCGCTGCTGCTTCTAGTCAGCCATCTTGGCCCTGTGCACATAACTGTTTATATTATGTATCATTAACAAATTGTTGTAGCTATTGTTAAATACTTTTAACCTCTATATTATTAGAGTTACAAGTGATGTATGCACTATCATTATAATATTCAAGTATTCTAACTTTGACTATATTCCTTATAGTCAATGTTATACTTTCATGTGTTGTCATATTTTTAGTTATTGCTTTCATTTCTCTTTGATGAAATCCCTCTAGTGTTTCTTGTAAGTCAGGTATAGTGGTGATGAACTCCCATAATTTTTGCTCACCTGGGAAATTATTTACCTTTCCTTTATTTCTGAAAGACAGCTTTGGAAGGTATAATATTCTTCGTTGACATTTTTTTTCTTTCAGCATTTAAAATATATCATCCCACTGTCTCCTGGCCTGCAAAGTTTCTGATGAAAAATCCACTGACCATGTTATGATTGTTCCCTAGTATGCAATCAGTTGTTTTTATCTTACTACTTTCAAATTCTCTTTGTTGTTTACGTTTAGGAATTTGATTATACAAGACTTAAAGGTAAGACCTAAAAGCATAAAAACCCAAGAAGAAAACCTAAGCAATACCATTCAGGACATAGGCATTGGCAAAGACTTCATGATTAAAACACCAAAAGTAATGGCAACAAAACCCAAAATAGACAAATGGGATCTAATTAAACTAAAGAGCTTCTGCACAGAAAAAGAAATTATCATCAGAGTGAACAGGCAGCCTACAGAATGGGAGAAAATTTTTGCAATATATCCATCTGAAAAAGGGCTAATATCCAGAATCTACAAAGAATTTAAACAAATTTACAAGAAAAAAACAAACAACTCCATCAAAAAGTGGGCAAATGATATGAATAGACACTTCTCAAAAGAAGACATTTATGCGGCCAACAAACATAGGAAAAAAAGTTCATTATCAGTGGTCATTACAGAAATGCAAATCAAAACCACAATGAGATACCATCTCATGCCAGTTGGAATGGCAATCATTAAAGAGTCAGGAAACAACAGATGCTGGAGAGGATGTGGAGAAATAGGAACATTTTACACTGCTGGTGGGAGTGTAAATTAGTTCAACCATTGTGGAAGACAGTGTGGCAATTCCTCAAAGATCTAGAACCAGAAATACTATATGACCCAGCAATTCCATTACTGGGTATATACTCAAAGGATTATAAATCATTCTACTATAAAGACACATGCACACATATGTTTATTGCGGCATTGTTCACAATAGCAAAGACTTGGAACCAACCCAAATGTCCATCAATGACAAACTGGATAAAGAAAATGTGGCACATATACACCATGGAATACTATGCAGCCATAAAGAAGGATGAGTTCATGTCCTTTGCAGGGACATGGATGAAGCTGGAAACCATTATTCTCAGCAAACTAACACAAGGACAGAAAACCAAACATCGCATGTTTTCACTCAGAAGTGGGAGATGAACAATGAGAACACATGGACACAGGGAGGGGAACATCACACTCCAGGGCCTGTGTGGGGGTGGAAGGCTAGGGGAGGGATAGCATTAGGAGAAATACTTAATGTAGATGAGGGGTTGATGGGTGCAGCAAACCACCATGGCTCATGTATACCTCTGTAACAAACCTGCACGCTCTGCACATGTATCCCAGAACTTAAAGTACAACTAAAAACAGAAAGAATTTGATTATAATGTTTTTGGTGACTATCCATTTGTGTTTAATCTATTTTAGGCTATTTGAGCTTCATGGATCTGGATGTTTGTGTTCCTTTCCAAATTCAGGAATTCTTCTGTAGTTATGTTTTTAAGTAGTTTTCTGTCCCATTCTTTTTCTATGCTCCTCTGGAACTTCATTATTCATATATTGTTCTGTTTGATTGTATCCCACAGGCTTTCTTTACTCTTTTTCATTTTTTCTTTTTGTTTCTCTAACTGGGTAATTTCAAATAACCTGTCTTTGAGTTCACTGATTTTTGTCTCCTGCTAGATCAAGTCTGCCATTAGAGTTCTCTGTGGAATTTTTTAGTTCAGTCATTGTGTCCTTCAGCTCCACAATTTCTGTTTGGTTTTATTTTATACATTCTATCTTCTTGTTGAACTTCTCATTTTCTTCATGTATTGTTTTCCTGATTTTGTTTACTTGCCCATCTGTGTTCTCTTGTAGCTCACTAAGCTTCTTTAACACAATGGTTCTTTGTCAGGCTATTCATAGATCTCCATTTCATTAGGGTTAGTTCCTGAAGCTTTATTTTATTCTTTTAGTGGTATGACTTTTTCCTGATTTTTCATAATTGCTGTCTTTCATTGGTGTCTGTGCATTTGAAGGAACAGGCTCTTATTCTACTCTTTACAAACAAGCTTCAGCAGGGAACATCCATCATTACTCAGCCCACCAAGATATTCAGTTGGTAGGCAAACTGGTGAGGTCCACAGGTCAGGTAGGCTTACTGCTGAATCCTTGGTCAGGTTGGCCAGGTTCCTGAGTCAGTGGGCAGGTAGGCCTGTTGCCTGTGTCCACAGGTGCTAGCCTGAAGCCTGAGTCTGCAGGGGCTGGCCTAGCACTTTGTTGGACCTGGAGCCTGAATCTGCAAGGGCCAGACTGGTACCTCAGTCTACTGAGGATGGCTTGGTGTTAGGACAGGCCTAGAGCGTGGATCTGCAAGTACCGGCTTTTTGCCTGGGTCTTCAGTGGCCATACTAGAGTCTGTAGCCATCACTGCTACAGACAGTGCTACAGACAAAAGTTACTTGCCTGTAAGGGCAGTACTGGAGCCTGTACCCACTGATGTTGGCCTGAAGCCTGGATCTGCCAGGGTGACCTGGTGCTATGACAAGCTTGAAGTGTAGGTTTGTTGGGTACATCCTGGCACTGGGGTTTACTGGGTTGGGCCTGGTGACATGACTATGAGGCAAAGTGAGGTCCTTACTTCATCTTCCTTTCCCAACACATTTCTCTGCACTATCCTGCTCAGGTTGGGGTGAGGGGTTATGCCAGTAATGTGAAACTGTCCTTCCTACCCTCTTTAATGCATCTTTTCTTATTTATGTGCTCCATGTAGATACTGTAAACTCTTATCTGGAAACCTTAGCGCTTGTGAACATATTTTTATGCACAGATGGTTGTTTCAACTGATGTTTCTGTGAAGGTGATATGGTTTGGCTCTGTCCCTACCCAAATCTCATCTCAAATTGTAATTCTCACATGTTGAGGGAGGACCTGGTGGGAGGAGACTGGATCATGGTGGTGGTTTCCCCCATGCTATTCTCATGATAGTGAGGGAGTTCTCATGATATCTGATGGTTTTAAAAGTGGCAGTTTAGCCTGCATTCATTCATTCTCTCTCTCTCTCTCCTGCTACCTTGTGAAGAAAATACTTGCTTCTCTTCCACCTTCTGCCATGATTGTAAGTTTCCTGAGGCCTCCCTAGCCATGTGGGACTGTGAGTCAGTTAAACTTCTTTTCTTTTTCTTTTTTATTTTATTTTATTATTATTATACTTTAAGTTTTAGGGTACATGTGCACAATGTGCAGGTTTGTTACATATGTATACATGTGCCATGTTGGTGTACTCACCCAATAACTCATCATTTAGCATTAGGTATATTTCCTAATGCTATCCCTCCCCCCATCCCCACCCCACAACAGTCCCCAGAGTGTGATGTTCCCCTTCCTGTGTCCATGTGTTCTCATTATTCAATTCCCACCTATGAGGGAGAACATGCGGTGTTTGGTTTTTTGTCCTTGTGATAGTTTGCTGAGAATGATGATTTCCAGTTTCATCCATGTCCCTACAAAGGACATGAACTCATCATTTTTTATGGCTGCATAGTATTCCATGGTGTATATGTGCCAGATTTTCTTAATCCAGTCTATCATTGTTGGACATTTGGGTTGGTTCCAAGTCTTTGCGATTGTGAGTAGTGCCACAATAAACATACGTGTGCATGTGTCTTTATAGCAGCATGATTTATAATCCTTTGGGTACATACCCAGTAATGGGATGGCTGGGTCAAATGGTATTTCTAGATCTAGATCCCTGAGGAATCACCACACTGACTTCCACAATGGTTGAACTAGTTTATAGTCCCACCAACAGTGTAAAAGTGTTCCTATTTCTCCACATCCTCTCCAGCACCTATTGTTTCCTGACTTTTGAATGACTGCCATTCTAAATGGTGTGAGATGGTATCTCATTGTGGTTTTGATTTGCATTTCCCTGATGGCCAGTGATGATGAGCATTTTTTCATGTGTTTTTTGGCTGCATAAATGTCTTCTTTTGAGAAGTGTCTTTTCATATCCTTTGCCCACTTTTTGATGGGGTTGTTTGTTTTTTTTTTGTAAATTTGTTTGAGTTCATTGTAGATTCTGCATATTAGCCCTTTGTCAGATGAGTAGGTTGCGAAAATTTTCTCCCAATTTCTAGGTTGCCTGTTCACTCTGATGGTAGTTTCTTTTGCTGTGCAGAAGCTCTTTAGTTTAATGATATCCCATTTGTCAATTTTGGCTTTTGTTGCCATTGCTTTTGGTGTTTTAGACATGAAGTCCTTGCCCATGCCGATGTCCTGAATGGTATTGCCTAGGTTTTCTTCTAGACTTTTTATGGTTTTAGGTCTAACATGTAAGTCTTTAATCCATCTTGAATTAATTTTTGTATAAGGTGTAAGGAAGGGATCCAGTTTCAGCTTTCTACATATGGCTAGCCAGGTGCCAGCACCATTTATTAAATAGGGAATCCCTTTCCCATTGCTTGTTTTTGTCAGGTTTGTCAAAGATCAGGTAGTTGTAGATACGCAGCATTATTTCTGAGGGCTCTGTTCTGTTCCATTGATCTATATCTCTGTTTTGTTACCAGTACCATGATGTTTTGGTTACTGTAACCTTGTAGTATAGTTTGAAGTCAGGTAGCATGATGCCTCCGGGTTTATTCTTTTGGCTTAGGATTGACTTGGCGATGCGGGCTCTTTTTTGGTTCCATATGAACTTTAAAGTAGTTTTTTCCAATTCTGTGAAGAAAGGCATTGGTAGCTTGATGGGGATGGCATTGAATGTATAAATTACCTTGGGCAGTACGGCCATTTTCACAATATTGATTCTTCCAACCAATGAGCACGGAATATTCTTCCATTTGTTTGTATCCTCTTTTATTTCATTGAGCAGTGGTTTGTAGTTCTCCTTGAAGAGGTCCTTCACGTCCCTCGTAAGGTGGATTCCTAGGTATTTTATTCTCTTTGAAGCAATTGTGAATGGGAGTTCACTCATGATTTGGCTCTCTGTTTGTCTGTTGTTGGTGTATAAGAATGTTTGTGATTTTTTTACATTGATTTTGTATCCTGAGACTTTGCTGAAGTTGCTTATCAGCTTAAGGAGATTTTGGGCTGAGACAATGGGGTTTTCTAGATATACAATCATGTCGTCTGCAAACAGGGACAATTTGACTTCCTCTTTTCCTAATTGAATACCCTTTATTTCCTTCTCCTGCCTAATTGCCCTGGCCAGAACTTCCAACAGTATGTTGAATAGGAGTGGTGAGAGAGGGCATCCCTGTCTTGTGCCAGTTTTCAAAGGGAATGCTTCCAGTTTTTGCCCATTCAGTATGAGATTGGCTGTGGGTTTGTCATAGATAGCTCTTATTATTTTGAGATATGTCCCATCAATACCTAATTTATTGAGAGTTTTTAGCATGAAGGGTTGTTGAATTTTGTCAAAGGCCTTTTCTGCATCTATTGAGATAATCATGTGGTTTTTGTCTTTGGTTCTGTTCATATGCTGGATTACATTTATTGATTTGCATATATTGAACCAGCCTTGCATCCCAGGGATGAAGCCCACTTGATCATGGTGGATAAGCTTTTTGATGTGCTGCTGGATTCGGTTTGCCAGTATTTTATTGAGGATTTTTGCCTCAATGTTCATCAAGGATATTGGTCTAAAATTCTCTTTTTTGGTTGTATCTCTGCCCGGCTTTGGTATCAGGATGATACTGGCCTGATAAAATGAGTTAGCGAGGATTCCCTCTTTTTCTATTGATAGGAATAGTTTCAGAAGGAATGGTACCAGCTCCTCCTTGTACCTCTGGTAGAACTCGGCTGTGAATCCATCTGGTCCTGGACTCTTTTTGGTTGGTAAGCTACTGATTATTCCCACAATTTCAGATCCTGTTATTGGTCTATTCAGAGATTCAACTTCTTCCTGGTTTAGTCTTAGGAAGGTGTATGTGTCCAGGAATTTATCCATTTCTTCAAGATTTTCTAGTTTATTTGTGTAGAGGTGTTTGTAGTATTCTCTGATGGTAGTTTGTATTTCTGTGGGATTGGTGGTGATATCCCCTTTATCATTTTTTATTGCGTCTATTTGATTCTTCTCTCTTTTCTTCTTTATTAGTCTTGCTAGCAGTCTATCAGTTTTGTTGATCTTTTCAAAAAACCAGCTCCTGGATTCATTAATTCTTTGAAGGGTTTTTTGTGTCTTTGTTTAATTCAGTTCTGCTCTGATTTTAGTTATTTCTTGCCTTCTGCTAGCTTTTGAATGTGCTTGCTCTTGCTTTTCTAGTTCTTTTAATTATGATGTTAGGGTGTCAATTTTAGATCTTTCCTGCTTTCTCTTGTGGGCATTTAGTGCTATAAATTTCCCTCTACACACTGCTTTGAATGTGTCTCAGAGATTCTGGTATGTTGTGTCTTTGTTCTCATTGATTTCAAAGAACATCTTCATTTCTGCCTTCATTTTGTTATTTACCCAGTAGTCATTCAGGAGCAGGTTGTTCAGTTTCCATGTAGTTGAGCGGTTTTGAGTGAGTTTCTTAATCCTGAGTTCTAGTTTGATTGCACTGTGGTCTGAGAGACAGTTCGTTATAATTTCTGTTCTTTTACATTTGCTGAGGAGTGCTTTACTTCCAACTATGTGGTCAATTTTGGAATAGGTGTGGTGTGATGCTGAAAAATGTATATTCTGTTGATTTGGGGTGGAGAGTTCTGTAGATGTCTATTAGGTCTGCTTGGTGCAGAGCTGAGTTTAATTCCTGGGTATCCTTGTTAACTTTCTGTCTCATTGATCGGTCTAATGTTGACAGTGGGGTCTTAAAGTCTCCCATTATTATTGTGTGGGAGTCTAAGTCTCTTTGTAGGTCACTCAGGACTTGCTTTATGAATCTGGGTGCTCCTGTATTGGGTGCATATATATTTAGGATAGTTAGCTCTTCTTGTTGAATTGATCCCTTTACCATTATGTAATGGCCTTCTTTGTCTCTTTTGATCTTTGTTGGTTTAAAGTCTCTTTTATCAGAGACTAGGATTGCAACCCCTGCCTTTTTTTGTTTTCCATTTGCTTGGTAGATCTTCCTCCATCCCTTTATTCTGAGCCTATGTGTGTCTCTGCACCTGAGATGGGTTTCCTGAATACAACACACTGATGGGTCTTGACTCTTTATCCAATTTGCCAGTCTGTGTCTTTTAATTGGAGCATATAGCCCATTTACATTTAAAGTTAATATTGTTATGTGTGAATTTGATCCTGTCATTATGATGTTAGCTGGTTATTTTGCTTGTTAGTTGATGCAGTTTCTTCCTAGCCTTGATGGTCTTTACAATTTGGCATGTTTTTGCAGTGGCTGGTACTGGTTGTTCCTTTCCATGTTTAGTGCTTCCTTCAGGGGCTCTTTTAGGGCAGGTCTGGTGGTGACAAAATCTCTCAGCATTTGCTTGTCTGTAAAGTATTTTATTTCTCCTTCACTTATGAAGCTTAGTTTGGCTGGATATGAAATTCTGGGTTGAAAATTCTTTTCTTTAAGAATGTTGAATATTGGCCCCCACTCTCTTCTGGCTTGTAGAGTTTCTGCCAAGAGATCCACTGTTAGTCTGATGGGCTTCCCTTTGTGGGTAACGTGACCTTTCTCTCTGGCTGCCCCTAACATTTTTTCCTTCATTTCAACTTTGGTGAATCTGACAATTATGTGTCTTGGAGTTGCTCTTCTCGAGGAGTATCTTTGTGGCGTTCTCTGTATTTCCTGAATCTGAATGTTGGCCTGCCTTGCTAGATTGGGGAAGTTCTCCTGGATAATATCCTGCAGAGTGTTTTCCAACTTGGTTCCATTTTCCCCATCACTTTCAGGTACATCAATCAGACGTAGATTTGGTCTTTTCACATAGTCCCATATTTCTTGGAGACTTTGTCCGTTTCTTTTTATTCTTTTTTCTCTAAACTTCCCTTCTTGCTTCATTTCATTCATTTCATCTTCCATCACTGATACCCTTTCTTCCAGTTGATCGCATCGGCTCCTGAGGCTTCTGCATTCTTCACGTAGTTCTCGAGCGTTGGCTTTCAGCTCCATCAGCTCCTTTAAGCACTTCTCTGCATTGGGTATTCTAGTTATACATTCATCTAATTTTTTTCCAAGTTTTTAACTTCTTTGCCATTGGTTTGAATTTCCTCCTGTAGCTCGGAGTAGTTTGATCTTCTGAAGCCTTCTTCTCTCAACTCATCAAAGTCACTCTCCATCCAGCTTTGTTCTGTTACTGGTGAGGAACTGCATTCCTTTGGAGGAGGAGAGGAGCTCTGCTTTTTTGAGTTTCCAGTTTTTCTGCTCTGTTTTTTCGCCATCTTTGTGGTTTCATCTACTTTTGGTCTTTGATGATGGTGAAGTACAGATGTGTTTTTGGGGTGGATGTCCTTTCTGTTTGTTAGTTTTCCTTCTAACAGACAGGACCCTCAGCTGCAGGTCTGTTGGAGTTTGCTGGAGGTCCACTCCAGACCCTGTTTGCCTGGGTATCAGCAGCGGTGGCTGCAGAACAGCGATGACTGTAGAACAGCGGATTTTCGTGAACCGCAAATGTTGCTGCCTGATCAGTCCTCTGGAAGTTTTGTCTCAGAGGAGTACTTGGCCGTGTGAGGTGTCAATCTGCCCCTACTGGGGGTGCCTCCCAGTTAGGCTGCTCAGGGGTCAGGGAACCACTTGAGGAGACAGTCTGCCCGTTCTCAGATCTCCAGCTGCGTGCTGGGGGAACCACTATTCTCTTTAAAGCTGTCAGACGGGGACATTTAAGTCTGCAGAGGTTACTGCTGTCTTTTTGTTTGTCTGTGCCCTGCCCCCAGAGGTGGAGCCTACAGAGGCAGGCAGGCCTCCTTGAGCTGTGGTGGGCTCCACCCAGTTCGAGCTTTCTGGCTGCTTTGTTTACCTAAGCAAGCCTGGGCAATGGCGGGCACCCCTCCCCCAGCCTTGCTGCCACCTTGCAGTTTGATCTCAGACTGCTGTGCTAGCAATCAGTGAGACTCCATGGTTGTAGGACCCTCCGAGCCATGTGCAGGATATAATCTCCTGGTGTGCCGTTTTTTAAGCCCGTTGGAAAAGCGCAGTATTAGGGTGGGAGTGACCAGATTTTCCAGGTGCCGTCTGTCACCCCTTTCTTTGACTAGCAAAGGGAACTCCCTGACCCCTTGTGCTTCCCGAGTGAGGCAATGCCTCACCCTGCTTCGGCCTGCGCACAGTTCGCTGCACCCACTGTCCTGCACCCACTGTCTGGCACTCCCTAGTGAGATGAACCTGGTACCTCAGATGGAAATGCAGAAATCACCTGTCTTCTGTGTCACTCACGCTGGGAGCTGTAGACCGGAGCTGTTCCTATTCAGCCATCTTGGCTCCTTACCAACTTCTTTCCTTTATAAATTACCTAGTTTCATGTAGTATCTTTATAGCACTGTGAAAACAGACTAATACAGAGGAGTGTGCATTGGAAACTCCTATTCTCCCATCATGCTATCATCATTCCTCTTGTCTAGTAGTTTCACTGCTGATTATCAAATGTTTTCCATGAACAAATCAGAGTGTGGATAGCTACCCAACTGGAACACCTATTATTTACATAACACCCTTCCATAACATTAATAGGTCACTGCTGATCTCAATGAAAGTTTTCAAATCCATATGTCCTATAAAATTAAATCAACGAAACACCATTTCTCCCATTGCTTGTGTTTTCAATGATAAATATAACCAAATGTTGCCAAAGTCATCTCCACATATATATGTAGCACACATAAGCAAGGGTTAATTTATACTCTGAATTAGTATTTTAATACAAGAATAAACCAAAGTATCTACACATTTTTGTACAGATATTTGACATATTTGTAAATGCTATTGTAAACATATGCCACTGATATTATATAACATTTGATAGCATCATTTCATGACAGAATTTTACTTTCACTGTGCTTTCTCTCAATATAATTACTTTCACTGGCTTTTCAGTTTGTTTTACAAGAATATCCAGAAGAAATGCATTTGGCCACAAATATCAACAAACCCAATACTGTTTTTAAAAATAAAGTTTTATTTGTATTATAAAGCAAGAAGTCCAGAAATAGGCTATGTAAATATTAATTCAAGACTCAACAATGTCAAAACTCAGGTCTTTAGGATTCTCTTGAACATCTTTTCTTTTTGCTATATCATGGTCATAAAATGACTACTGCAAATGTAATTACCCCCATCTGTATTCCAAAAGGTATAAGAATAAAAATGGGGAGGATAGCAAAAAGGCTCTCCTTTATTATCAAGGATTACTTTAGTTTACTCTTTAAGAGTATTCACTTGCAGTTCAAGTGAATTTAAGGATTAATTAATACAGCTGGCAAGTAATTTATACAACAACTACTGGAAATGTATATCTCCTCGTAAGGAAAGTATCAAACCTTTTTTACTTGTATAAAGAATAGCTTTGCTTTGTTAGGTGGAAACAGAGTTGTTTCGTTGTTGTGTAAAAGGAAACAGAAGCTGACTAATAAAAGGAGTGTATTGGCTGTGGCCCTTTCCACCCCCTAGTGCTGCTGGGCCTGCAGGCCTTTGTTCCACAGTTTGTTAAAGTTGTTAAGAATAAGGCCTGCTTTAAGAGATACCAAGTGAAATTTAGAAGACGAGGAAAGGGTAAAACTGAATACCATGCTTGGAAACACTTAGTGATACAGGATAAAAATAAATATAAAACACCCAAATACAGGATGATAGTTCGTGTAACAAACAGAGATATCATTTGTCAGATTGCTTATGCCCATATAGACAGGGATATAATAGTCTGTGCAGCATATGCACACGAACTGCCAAAATATGGTATGAAGGATGGCCTAACAAATTATGTTGCAGCGTATTGTACTGGCCTCCTGCTGGCCTGCAGGCTACTCAATAGGTTTGGCATGGACAAGATCTATGAAGGCCAAGTGGAGGTGACTGGCGATGAATACAATGTGGAAAGCATTGATGGTCCGCCGGGTGCCTTTACCTGCTATTTGGATGCAGGCCTTGCCAGAACTACCACTGGCAATAAAGTTTTTGGCACCCTGAAGGGAGCTGTGGATGGAGGCTTGTCTATCCCTCACAGTACCAAATGATTCCCTGGTTATGATTCTGAAAGCAAGGAATTTATGTAGAACTACACAGGAAGCACATTGTGGGCCAGAATGTTGCAGAATGTTGCAGATTACATGTAAGATGAAGATAATTACAAGAAACAGTTCTCTCAATACATAAAGAACAGAGTAACTCCAGACATGATGGAGATGTATAGGAAAGCTCATGCTGCTATACGAGAGAATCCAGTCTATGAAAAGAAGCCCAAGAAAGAAGTTAAAAAGAGGTGGAATCGTCCCAAAATGTCCCTTGCTCAGAAGAAAGATCGGGTAGCTCAAAAGAAAGCAAGCCCCCTCAAGAGCTCAGGAGTGGGCTGCTGAGAGCTAAACCAAACAATTTTCTATGAAGATTTTCAGATAAAGACAATAAAAGTATGGACAGAAAAAAAAATGGAGTGTACCGTGTTAGTTACCGATTTATTCCTCTGCCTCGACATTTATCCTCTTTGGCCTAGGTTTTACTGGATCTGGACCCTGTACAAATTTCTTTTGCCAGCTTGTCTAATATTAGTTGGCAAGAGAGGGCACCAGATGGACATTGTATGTCATGGTAAAGGAAGGGGTTTCACTTCCTAATTCTAGTGTATTTTCTTCCTTCTGTGGTGTGCCTGCTAGTGACATGCTGGAGGCCCATTGAGTTTCTCAGGAACCCTCAAGGACAGCTTCCTGTAGACAAGCCCCAATCTGCCATTACTTCAGTTGATAACTACATACAGATAAACTCCGGTCCACTGACTCCAGTGAACTTCTTTGCCACCCAGTGAACCATAGCTATGCCCTCTCCAGTGAGATCTCAATCTTAGGAGCGGGAGGTGATTCTTCCAAGTTCTTAGTGTATTTCTTGCCCTTCTCTCTCTCTCTTTCTCATTCTCTTTACCCAATCCCACTAAAGACAGTACATTTGTAGAGGCTTCCTACATAAGCTGTTTTAGTATAGAGTCTAGTTTTCCATTATAAGTAGTTGACCATTTTTAACTAATTTTTAAATATTAAATTATCAACATTCACATTATTGGTGTGCTTTCTATCTCTTGCCTGAATCTTATCAGATACACAAGGAACATTCACCAGGTTGTGCCCTCTGGACCACATGAGTCTGTCAAACTTATCAGGCAGATTCTCAGACTGGTAAGATGCAGACGGCTCTTCCTTTGAAAATGGCCAATGTTCCCAGGGGAAAGGCAATTCCAAAGACAAGAGGTATTTGTTTCTATTACTCTTCTAATAAATACCACAAATTTAGTAGCTTAAAATAACATACATTTATTAACTTAATCACATTGGAAAGTCTCTTTTACCATGTCAAATAACATATGCACAAGTTCCAGGGATTAGGATATGAACATCGTTAGGGGGATATAATTCTACCACAGTAAGCAGTCTAGCCCACAAAGATTCATTCATCTCACATTCAATGCATTCATCCCATCCTAATATTCCCAAGAGTCTTAACTCATTACAACAGCAGCTCAAAGTCTGAAATCTAATCTAAATCTCATCAGCTCAAAGAACCCAAATTCACATCATCTGAAAAATAAAAATCAGATATGGATGAAATTCTGGATATGATCCATCTAGGGCAAAATTCATCTCCATCTGTAGACTTGCAAAACTAGAAAACAAGTTAACAGCTGTCAAAATACAAGATGGAATAAGTGTAGAACACCAGACAAACATTTCCATTCAAAAAAGAAAAATGGGAAGAAAAAAGAAATCAGCCATCTCAAGCAATCTCAAAACCCTGTAAGGAAAACTCCATTGAGTTTCAAGGCCTAGGAATAACCTGTGTGGTTCACAGCTTCACCCTCAGAGAATAGGATGGCTCTGACTTTGGAGTCAATCTTCCTTTTTCATGAAGAATAGCATTGCTTTCAGCATAAGTAGTTTTATCAGCCTGCTTCCTGCCTTTAGAATTCCAGAGTCTCAATAGTCTTCCTTCATGTATCCTTCTTTCTGTCCCTTTCAGTCCAAGCTGGCAGTGCTGCTATTGATATAAAATCTCATGAACATTTTGAGTCTCCTACATCTGTCATGGGAATTCACTCCACACAACAGCTCCTCTACAGGTCTTTCCTAGATAATGCAGGTCTATTTTTGGCCTCTTCAGAGATGGCTGAAGGGATCCATGAGTCATACACCTGATTTCTTCAAAGAGCTTCTGTGTGACTGAATACTCTGGCTCTAGATCCTTCCAAGGCACTAGCAAAAGATAATTCAACCACAACCTCAGTTTTCTCCCCAGAACTCGCTTTCCTGAAAGTGAATCTTCGAATTTGAGTGTCTTTTTCAAATTGGATAGGTTGGAAATTTCCCGCATCATCAAGTCCTGGTTTCTTTTGGCTTAACAGTTCTTCCTTCAATTTGTGCTTTTCCTGTCACATTTTACTATAAGCAGAAAGAAGAAACCTCAGCACACCTTCAACACTTGGCAGTCTCCTTATCCAAATCCAAGGACATTCCTTACAAAGTCTAGTTTCCACATAATTATGTAGGACACAATTTAGCTACACTTTCTACCACTCTATAACAAGAATCCCCTTTCCAATAGTTTCAAATAATGTCTTCCTCATTTTCTTCTGATCCTTCACTAGCAGTAAGTATCTTTAACGTCCATATTTCTACCAACAGTCTGTTTAGGATAATTTTCTTTTTAGAGATATGAATAAATTAGTTTTATTTTCTTATAGTAGATGTTTTGAACCTCATTTAATAGTTCCTTGTTTCGTTGTGGAGAACAGAGCTACAGAATTTTATTTCACCTACTTCCACTCAGTTATCTCTCTTCCTCTTTGGAGTTTAGTTTCTCTTTTTTATTTTCTATTTCCTAAGTGTGAAAGCTGAGTACATTGATTTTACATCTTTCTTCTTTTCTAATATAAGCATTAATTCTATATATTACCCACTAAATACAAGATTTTATCCTACAAATGTCAATATGCTATGTTTTCATTTTCACATAGCTTGAAATATTTTCTGATTTTCCTCATAATTTCCTCTTTCACCTATGGTTTATTTGGAAGTATGTTGCTCAATTTCCAAATTATAATAATTTTCCAGACATTTTTCTGTGATTTATTTTTTGTAAACATTTTTGTGATCAGAGAGCATATTTTCTATTATTTCAATACTTTAAATATATTAAAACTTGTTTTATTAATAAAAATGTTCTATCTTGGTAAATGTTCTATGTGCATGTAGAAATATGCGTATTATGCATATTTAAACATATTGGGTGGCATGTTCTATAAGTGCTTATTAGGTCACACTTGGCTAATAGTCCTGTTCAATCTTCTATAACCTCACTGAGGTCTCACTCTATCAATTATTGAGACCAGAGTAGTGAAATAGCTACCCATAATTGTTAATTCTTTATTTCTCCATTCTATTCTGTCAGTTGTTCCCTCAAGCATTCTGAATCTCTATACATGCATATACCTTTAGGATTACCGTGTCTTCTCGATGATCTCTTTCTTTTTCATTATGAAATATCCCTCTTTATCTCTAGTAATACTCTTTATTCTTATATGTATTTTATCTGATACTAATATAGCCACTACAGCATTTTTATTGATGCTTGCACAATATATCACTTTTCATGCTTTTACTTTTAGCCCATGGGTATCTACACATTCAAAGTATATTAATTAGAAATAGCACAGTTGTATCATGCTTTTATATTTTATATTAGTTATCTGCAGAAGAGGACATAGAAGTATTACAAAATCCTAGGGTTGCGTGCTCTTATTCTCATATTGGTACTTTCCAGAGGCTTTCTAAAGCACCCCAGTTTGCAACGAACACTTCAAGTATTATTTGATCTGCTGAATCATAAGGCCTGAATGAAAAAGTAGCTTGCAATGCAGCCTGAACGTACTATAGAGCTTTGTCTTCTTCTGGTTCCCACTCAAAACTGCACACTTATCAGTATCTCAGTAGAAAGGCCAAAGTAACACACCCAAATGCAATATATATTATCTCTAAAACCCAGAAAGACCTACCAAGAGTTGTAACTCTTTTTCATGGTAGATGGTGGAAGGAATGGCAACTTGTCTTTCACCTTGGAGGGGATATTTTGACATTATCCAGGCCACTGGACCCCAGAAACTTCACTGCAGTAAGAGGCCCCTGAAATTTCATGGGGTTAATCTTCCATTATCCGGTTTGCAAGATTCTTCCTACTTACAGCTATTCAAATCTAATCAGCATAATGCCATCAATATACCAGACTATGTTGTTTTGCACCAGTAAAAATGCTGTATCTGAGAAAGCAGCTGCAGTCTCTATCACCACCATCTGATTAAGTCTATAATGACCCACAGTCACCTCCCAAAATTAATCTGGCTTCTGCACAGCTCACATAGGCAAATTACATAGAGATGTGATAACTATCTCTACTCCTGAGTCTTCCAAGTCTCTGATGGTGGCAATAATCTATGCAATTCCCCAGAAATTCAGTATTGTATCTGGCTTTATACATTATCAAGGGAGAAATTTCCACAATGTTGTTAAAATGGCCATACTGCCCAAATAAATTTATAGACTCAATGCTATTTCTATTAAAGTACCATTGACATTCTTCAGAGAACTAGGGAAAACTAAAATTCAGATGGAACCAGAAAAGAGCCTGAAAAGCCAAGGCAATCTTAAGCAAAAAGAAAAAAGCTAGAGGCAGTATGCTACCCAACTTCAAATTAGAGTCCAGGCCTACAGTAACCAAAACAGCATGATACTGGTACAAAAAAATAGTCACATAGACCAACAGATCAGAAAAGAATACCCAGAAATAAGACCACACACCTACAACTATCTGATCTTCAACAATCTTGACAAAAACAAGCAATGGGGAAAGGATTTTCTATTCATTAAACGGTGCTGAGATAACTGGCTAGTCATATGCAGAAGACTGAAACTGGGCCCCTTCTTTACACAATGTACAAAAATTAACTCAAGATAGATTAAAGACTTAAATTTTAAAATTCATATGGAACCAAAAAAGAGCCTGCATAGCCAAAGCAAGACTAAGCAAAAAGAACAAACGTGGAGGCATCACACTACCTGATTTCAAACTATACTTTAAGGCCAGAGTCACCAAAACAGCATGGTACTGGTATAAAAACAGGCACATAGACCAATGGAACAGAATAGAGAACCCAGAAATAAACCCAAATACTTAAAGCCAACTGATATTCAACAAACAAAAACATAAAGTGGTGAAAGGACACCCTTTTCAACAAATGATGCTAGGATAATTGCCTAGCCATATGTAGAGAATGAAATTGGATCCAATCTCTAACTTTATATAAAAATCAACTCAAGATTGATTAAGGACTTAAATTTAAGACCTGAAACTAAAAATTCTAGAAGATAACATTGGAGGAACCCTTCTAGATATTGGCTTAGGCAAGGATTTTATAACCAAGAACCCAAAAGCAAATGCAATTTTAAAAAAAGTAAATGGGCCAGGCATGGTGGCTCACACCTGTAATCCCAGCACTTTGGGAGGCTGAGATGGGCGGATCACAAGGTCAAGAGATGGAGACTATCCTGGCCAACATGGTGAAACCCCATCTCTACTAAAAATACAAAAAATTAGCTGGGCGTGGTGGCCTGTAGTCCCAGCCTATAGTCCCAGCTACTCAGGAGGCTGAGGCAGCAGAATCGCTTGAAACCGGAAGGCGGAGGTTGCAGTGAGCCGAGATCATGCCACCGCACTCCAGCCTGGGCAAAAAGAACAAAACTCTGTCTCAAAAAAAATAAAAAATAAAAAAAAGTAAATAACTGGGACTTGAACTAAAGAGCTTTTGTGTGGCAAAAGGAACAGTAAGCAGAGTAAACAGACAACCCAGAGAGTGGGAGAAAATCTTCATACTCTATACAATTGACAGAGGACTAATATGCAGAATCTACAAAGAAAACAAACAAGTCAGTAAGCAAAAAACAAACAATCCCATCAAAAAGTGGGCTAAGGACATGAATAGAAAATTATCAAAAGAAGATATACAAATGGCCAACAAACATGAAAAAATGCTCAACATCACTAATGATCAGAGAAATGCAAATCAAAACCACAATGTGGTACCACTTTACTCCTGCAATAATGGCCATAATCAAAAAATCAAAAAATAATAGATGTTAGCATGGATGTGGTGAACAGGGAATACTTCTACACTGCTGGTGGGAATGTAAACTGGTACAACTACTATGAAACACAGTGTGGAGATTCCTTAAAGAACTAAAAGTAGTTCCACCATTTGATCCAGCAATCCCATTATTGGTATCTACCCAGAGGAAAAGAAGTCACTATACAAAAAAGATACTTGCACATGCATGTTTATAGCAGTACAATTCACAACTGCAAAACCATGGAACCAACCCAAATGCCTATGAATCAACGAGTGGAAAAAGAAACTCTGGTATATATAAACTTACTCATGTAACCAAACACCACCTGTAACCCAATAACTTATGAAAAAATAAAAAATTTTAAAAATCACGAGATACCATCTAACACAAGTCATAATGGAAGACACAGAGACTCCCACACAATAATAGTGGGAAACTTTAACACCCGACTGTCAACATTAGACAGATCAATGAGACAGAAAATTAACAACAATATCCAGGACTTAAACTCACTTCCGGACCAAGCAGACCTAATGGACATCTACAGAACTCTCCACCCCAAATCAACAGAATATACATTTTTCTCAGCACCACATCGTGCTTATTCTAAAATTGACCACATAATTGGAAGTAAAACACTCCTCAGCAAATGCAAAAGAACGGAAATCATAACAAACTGTCTCTCAGACCACGGTGCAATCAAATTAGAACCTAGGATTAAGAAACTCACTCAAACCCACACAACTACATGGAAACTGAACAACCTGCTCCTGAATGACTACTGGGTAAATAACAAAATGAAGGCAGAATAAAGATGTTATTTGAAACCAATGAGAACAAAGACGCATGTCCCAGATCTCTGGGACACATTTAAAGCAGTGTGTAGAGGGAAATTTATAGCACTAAATGCTCACAAGAGAAAGCAGGAACGAACTAAAATCAACACCCTAACATCACAATTAAAAGAACTAGAGAAACAAGAGCAAACAAATTCAAAAGCTAGCAGAAGACAAGAAATAATTAAGATTAGAGCAGAACTGAAGAAGATAGAAACACACACACACACAAAAAAAACCCTTCAAAAAAATCAATGAATCCAGGAGCTAGTTTTTTGAAAAGATCAACAAAATAGATAGACTGCTAGCCAGATTAATAAAAAAGAAAAGAGAGAAGAATCAAATAGATGCAATAAAAAATAATAAAGGGGATATCACCACCAATCCCACAGAAATACAAACTAACATCAGATAATACTATAAACAACTCTACGCAAATAAACTAGAAAATCTAGAAGAAATGGATAAATTTCCGGACACATACAACCCCCAAGACCAAACCAGGAAGAAGTTGAATCCCTAAGTAGACCAATAACAAGTTCTGAAATTGAGGCAGTAATTAATAGCCTACCAACCAAAAAATGTCCAGGACCAGATGGATTCACAGCCAAATTCTACCAAAGGTACAAAGTAGAGCTGGTACCATTCCTTCTAAAACTACTCCGAATGATAGAAAAAGAGGGAATCCTTCCTAACTCATTTTATGAGGCCAGCATAATCCTCATACCAAAACCTGGCAGAGACAACAAAAAAAGAAAATTTTAGGCCAATATCCCTGATGAACATCGATGCGAAAATCCTCAATAAAATACTGGCAAACCGAATCCAGTAGCACATCAAAAAGCTTATCCACCACGATCAAGTCAGCTTCATCCCTGGGATGCAAAGCTGATTCAACATAGGCAAATCAATAAATGTAATCCATCACATAAACAGAACCAACAACAAAAACCACATGATTATCTCAATAGATGCAGAAAAGGCCTTTGACAAAATTCAACACCCCTTAATGCTAAAAACTCTCAGTAAACTAGGTATCGATGGAACGCATCTCAAAATAATAAGAGCTATTTATGACAAACCCACAGCCAATATCAAACTGAATGGGCAAAAGCTGGAAGCATTCCCTTTGAAAACCGGCATAAGATAAAAATGCCCTCTCACACCACTCCTATTCAACATAGTATTGAAAGTTCTGGCCAGGGCAATTTGGCAAGAGAAAAAAATAAACGGTATTCAATTAGGAAAAGAGGAACTCAAATTGTCTCTGTTTGCAGATGACATGATTGTATATTTAGACAACCCCATCGTCTCAGCCCAAAATCTCCTCAAGCTGATAAGCAACTTCAGCAAAGTCTCAGGATACAAAATCAAGGTGCAAAAATCACAAGCATTCCTATACATCAATAACAGACAGAGAGCCAAATCAGGAGTGAACTCCCATTCACAACTGCTACTAAGAGAATAAAATACCTAGGAATACAACTTACAAGACATGTGAAGTACCTCTTCAAGGAGAACTACAAACCATCACTCAAGGAAATAAGAGAGGACACAAACAAATGGAAGAACATTCCATGCTCATGGATAGGAAGAATCAATATTGTGAAAACAGCCATCCTGCCCAAAGTAATTCATAGATTCAATGCTATCCGCATCAAGCTACCATTGACATTCTTCACAGAACTGGAAAAAACTACTTTAAATTTCATATGAAACCAAAAAAGAGCCCTCATAGACAAGACAATCCTAAGCAAAAAGAACAAAGCTGGAGGCATCACGCTACCTGACTTTAAACTATACTACAAGCCTACAGTAACCAAAACAGCATATTACCGTACCAAAACAGATATATAGACCAATGGAACAGAACAGATGCCTCAGAAATAACACCACACATCTACAACCATCTGATCTTTGACAAACCTGACAAAAACAAGAAATGGGGAAAGGATTCCCTATTTAATAAATAATGTTGAGAAAACTGGCTAGCCATGTGCAGAAAGCTGAAACTGGATCCCTTCCTTACACCTTATACAAAAATTAACTCAAGATGGATTAAAGTCTTAAATGTAAGATCTAAAACCATAAAAACTCTAGAAGAAAACCTAGGCAATACCATTCAGGACATAGGCATGGGCAAAGACTTCTTGATTAAAACACCAAAAGCAATGGCAACAAAATCCAAAATAGACAAATGGGATCTAATTAAACTAAAGAGCTTCTGCACAGAAAAAGAAACGATCATCAGAGTGAACAGGCAACCTACAGAATGGGAGAAAAATTCTGCAATCTCTCCATCTGAAAAAGGGCTAAGATCCAGAATCTACAAAGAACTTAAACAAATTTACAAGAAAAAAACAAACAACCCCATCAAAAAGTGGGCAAAGGATATGAACAGACACTTCTCAAAAGAAGACATTTATGCGGCCAACAAACATAGGGAAAAAAAGCTCATTATCACTGGTCATTACAGAAATGCAAATCAAAACCACAATGAGATACCATCTCATGCCAGTTAGAAAGGCGATCATTAAAAGTCAGGAAACAGATGCTGGAGAGGATGTGGAGAAATAGGAACGCTCTTCCACTGTTGGTGGGAATGTAAATGAGTTCAACCATTGTGGAAGACAGTATGGTGATTCCTCAAGGATCTAGAACTAGAAATACCATTTGACCCAGCAATCCAGTTACTGGGTATATACCCAAAGGATTATAAATCATTCTACTATAAAGACACATGCACACATATGTTTATTGCGGCATTGTTCACAATAGCAAAGACTTGGAACCAACCCAAATGCCCATCAATGACAAACTGGATAAAGAAAATGTGGCACATATACACCATGGAATACTATGCAGCCATAAAAAAGGATGAGTTCATGTCCTTTGCAGGGACATGGATGAAGCTGGAAACCATCATTCTCAGCAAACTAACACAAGAACAGAAAATCAAACACTGCATGTTCTCACTCAGAAGTGGGAGATGAACAATGAGAACACATGGACACAGGGAGGGGAACATCACACACCAGGGCCTGTCGAGGGGTGGGGGCTAGGGGAGGGATAGCATTAGGAGAAATACCTAATGTAGATGATGGGTTTATGGGTGCAGCAAACCACCATGGCACATGTATACCTCTGTAACAAACCTACATGTTCTGCACATATACCCCAGAACTTAAAGTATAATAAAAATAAATAAATTTTTAAAAACACAATACTCAAAAAAAGAGAAAAAAAGTCAAAAAAATAACAGATGCTGGTGAAGTTTTCGAGATAAAGGAACACTTATACACTGTTGGTGCGACTGTAAATTAGTTCAGCCATTGTGGAAGAAAGTATGGTGATTCCTCAAAGACTTCAAGACAGAATACCATTCAACCCAGCAATCCCATTACTGGGTATATACACAAAGGAATATAAATTATTCTATTATAAAGATACATGCATGCATATGTTCACTGTAACACCATTCACAATAGCAAGGACGTGGAATCAACCTAAATGACCATCAAAGATAGACTAGATAAAGAAAATGTGGTACATGTATACCATGAAATACTATGCAGCAATAAAAAAGAACAAGATCATGTCCTTTGCAGGGACATGGATGGAGCAGGAGGTCATTATTCTCAGCAAACTAACACAAGAACAGAAAACCAAATACCACGTATTCTGTCTTATAAGTGGGAGCTAAATGATGAGAACACATGGACACCGAGAGGAACAACACATACTGAGGTCTTTCAGAGGGTGGAGGGTGGGAAGAGGGAGAGGATGAGAAAAAAATAACTAACGGGTACCAGGCTTAATACCTAGGTGATAAAATAGTTTGTACAACAAACCCCCTTGACACAAGTTTACCTATGTAACAAACCTGCACTTGTATCACTGAACTTAAAATAAAAGTTAAAAAAGAAGACACAAAGATTAAAGGTATAAAAAATTATTTTAAGAATAAAAAATCAACACAACTAAAAATATAGTTTTCTTAGTCATAAAAATTGTATGCTTTAAGCCACAAAATTTTTCAAGTTAGCGAAAATTGACCACTTTATGCAAACTAGAATTAGCAAAATTAACTTTAAAAAATAGTAAACCTGAATAAATCAATGTCGATTAAATAATCTGAAGTAATAGACAAATATCTCTCCCAAGAAGAAACACCCAGGCCCAGGTAGTTTTATAAACAATTTCTAATAATTCTTCAAGGAAGAAAATTTCCCTATTTGTGCTAACTTTTCCAATGAGTGAAAAAAAGAGGGAACACTTATAAAATCTTCATACCAAAACCAAAAATGGAGAACACAAGAAAAGCATGTAGCAATCCCACTTATGAACACATATGCAAACGTACCAGTAAATTTAAAAACTACTAATATATAACAAATGCAAGATGCTTTAATATCAAGAAAAATGTATTCACATACTTTATGACCCAAACAAATTAAGGGAGACAAGTCTTATAAACATCTTAATGTATATACAAAATTAATAAATTTCAACACACACTAATGAGTATTTTTTAAGCCAGCAAAATTAAGGCTAGAAGATAATAAAAGATATGTCCCAAAAACCCACAGCATCATACCTATAAGTAAAATTTAATAAGCATTTCTATTTATCAGGAAGACAAAGATGTCTATCACTGATACGCAACATAGTATGTCTTAGTGGATGTAATGAAAGGAAAAAAAGAAAGGGAAAGAGGAAAGGAGTAAGGGAGTGAGAAAGCAAAGAGGAAGACAATTCAAGGAAAACACAAAAGAATTAAAAAAGAATATTCAAAGTTATTATTTTAAGGAACTCTTCCTATAGAAAAACCATAAGCAAGTTAAAGAGTTGCTGGATCAAAGAACAAAATACATAAATCAACATTGTTCCTACATACCAACAATAATTCATAAGAAAATACAGATTTAAAAAGATGTAATTTGCAACAGCAAATAAAAGCCTACATGGTGTCTAGAAATAAATTTAACAAATATGTACAAGACCTTTGAGGAAAAATTTGTAAATATCATGAAAGAAGATAAATATAGATCTAAACAGAGAGATATAGCATGGTTTAGATGTGACGATTGTATAATAAATGTGATCCAAATGAAGCTTTTGTTTTTTGCTTTTGCTTTTTATTTTTTTAATTTTTCTTTTAAGACAGGGTCTTGCTATGGTGCCCAGGCTAGCCTTGAACTCCTGGGCTAAAGCTATCTTCCCACCTCAGCCTCCCAAGTACCTAGGACTACAGGCACATGTTACTGCACCTGGCTTGTTTTGGTTTTTTGACTGAGACAAACAGATTCTAAAATTAATAACGGAAGATCATATGTCTATGAAAAGCCAAGAAATATATCATATGGAAGAATTAAAGGTGAGGGCAGTATAGGGGATCTTAGTCCATTTGATACAAGATTTGTTAAACTGTAAAGTTAAAAATAGTGTGGTATTGGTTTGAGATTAGAAACAGATCAGTAGAACCAAATAGAAATCTCAGAAGTGGAAACAATTTTTTTTTATTTTATTTCATTTACTAGTACAATGTATATTACAGAAGCACCATTACAAATCAGTGGAGAAAAGAGTATGTAACGTAGGCATATTTTGGTAACTGCTTTTAAACACAAATAAGAGAATCTCACATCCCATGCACACAAAAAAAAGTGTTCCACATAAATGTCAAATCTCAGCAAGAATTCAAAAGAAAATATAAAATAGCCTTATTTCAACAAGGTAGGAAAAATATTTCTCAAAAAAGATACCAAAAAATAAAACCTGTGAATAAAAAAATTAATAAATTTGATCATACTGAAAAAAATCTGTAGAGAAAGTCCATGAACAAAGTAAAACGAATAGCCAAGGATTAGAAAATATTAAACACATCTAAAAGACATTAGGACTGGTATCCAGAATACATAACAACTGCCTAAAAATCAACAGGCAGAGAATATGAACAGGAATTCATAGAAGAGGAAATAGAAACAGCAAATAAACATAGGAAACAATGTCAACTTACATAGTAAAAAGAGAAATAGAACCTAAGAGATACACATACCCATCACTCTGAAGTCAGAAAATACTAAGTGTTGATGAGGATTGCTGAGACAAGAACTCTGCCCAACGTTAAAATAATAAGTAAGTATAACCACATTAGGAAAGAAATTGGTAATAGCTAATAAAGTTGAAAATGCACATACCTTACAAACCAGCAATTGCTGACTGGTTATATACCCTTGTGTATCAAAGACACAGGCAAAGACGGTTAGTGCAACATTATTTGTAATAGCAAAAAATTAGAATCAAACTAAATGTATATTAGTATGTATATATATAAATGAACTGTACTAGTCATACAATAGAATTCTACACTGGAGGAAAACTAATTAAAACAATCCTACTTGTATGAATGTGAATAAATCCCCCGTGGGAGAAAAAAAGTTTTAAAAATATTTAAAATATGACCATTTATTTAACTTTCTAAATAGATCATTTGTGAATAAATATCTATCCCACCCTCCCACTTTTGGGAGTGTCCAATGTCTGTGTACATATACATATTTCTTTTGTGTATATATATATATACAAGAAATACATATATATATACCATATTTCTTTTGTGTAAATATGTATACACAAAAGTGGAGGGTGGAAGAGGGATGAGGGATGGGTGCAATGCACATTATTTGGGTGACAGTTACACTAAAAGCCCAATATTTACCATTGTGCAGTATATTCATGTAACAAAACTGCCTTTGCACCCCTTAAAATTACATATGTGATACATATATATATATATATCTCACATTTTCTTTATCCAGTCATCCACTGATGGACACTTAGGTTGATTCCATGACTTCACTATTGTGAAGAGTGCTGTGATAAATATATGTCAGGAATCTTTTTTATATATGATGTATTTTCCTTTGGGTAGATATCTAGTAGTGGGATTGCTGGATGAAATGGTAATTCTAATTTTATTTCTTTAAGAAGATTCCATATTATTTTCCATAAAGGCTGTACTAATTTACATTTCTACCAATAGTGTATAACTGTTCCCTTGTTTCTGCATCCTTGCCAACATCTGTTATTCTTTGACTTTTTAATAATAGCCATTCTGACTGGTGTAAGAAAATATCTCATTGTAGTTTTGATTTGCATTTCTCTGATGATTAGTGATATTGAACATTTTTTCATATCTTTGTTGGCCACTTGTATATCTTCTTTTGAAAAATGTCTCTTTATGCCCTTTGCCCACTCTTTATTGGGGCTTTTAGGGTTTGTCGTTCTTGTTTGAGTTACTTGTAGATTATGGATATTAGTCCCTTGTCAGATGCATAGTCCGAAAATATCTTCCCTCATTCTGCAAGTTGTCTGTTCACTCTGTTGATTATTTATTTTGCTATGCAGAAGCTTTTTAGTTTAATTAAGTCCCATTTGCCTATTTGTTTTGGTTGCTTGTGTTTTTAAGGTCTTAGTCATAAATTCTTTGCCTGGGCCAATGTCCGGAAAAATTTTTCCTAGGTTTTCTTCTAGGATTTTTAGAGCTTCAGGTCTTACATTTAAGTCTTGAATTCATCTTGGGTTGATTTTTTTATATGGTGAGAGATATGGGTCCAATTTCACTCTTTTAGTATGGCTAGCCAATTTTCCCGGCACCATTTATTGACTAAGGACCTTTTCCCTATATATGTTTTTGTTGACTTTATTAAAGATAAGTTGGCTGTAGGTATGTGGGTTTATTTCTGGGTTCTCTATTCTGTTCCATTGATCTATGTGTCTATTTTTATACCAGTACCATGCTATTTTGGTTACTTAGCCTTGTATTAAGACTATAATTCGAAGTCAGACAATGTGATGTCTCCTGCTTTGTTCCTTTTGCTTAGGATTGCCTTGGATAGTCGAGCTCTTTTTTGTTTCCATATGAGTTTTTAGAATTATTTTTTCTACTTCTGTGAAAAACGACATTGGTATTTTGACAGGAATTGCATTAAATCTGTAGACTGCTTTAAGAATCAACATTGAATCAAAAGAATCAGTATTTCAACAATATTGATTCTTCCCATTTCACGAGCATGGGATACTTACTCATTTGTCTGTGTCATCTACGATTTCTTTCATCAGTGTTTCACCATTTTCCTTTCTTTTCACTTCCTTGGTTAAATATATTCCTAGGTATTTTATTATTTTTGTAGCTATTGTAAATGGGATTGATTTCTTGATTTGGTTCTCAGCTTATTTTTGGTATATAGAAATGCTACTGATTTTTGTACACTGATTTCATATCTCGAAACTTTACTGAATTCATTTATCAAATGTTAAGAGTCTTTTGGAGAAGGCTCTAGGGTTTTCTACACACAATTTCATATCAGCAACCAGAGATAATTTGAAATCCTCTTTTCCAATTCAGATGTATTCTTTCTGTCTCTTGCCTGATTGCTCTGGCTAGAACTTTCCATACTATGTTGAATAGGAGTGGTAAAATTGAACATCCTGTCTTGTTCCACTTCTTGTGGGAGAAGAGGATATTTTAACCTTTCTCCATTCTGTATGATGTTGGCTGTGGGTTTGTTGCCTATGGCTTTTATCATTTTGAGGTATGTGTTCCTTCTATGCCTAGTTTTTGAGGGTTCTTATCATGAAGTGATGCTAAATTTTATCAAATGCTGCTTCTGCATCTATTGAGATGATCATATAGTTTTTTGTTTTTAATTTTGTTTATGCAATGAATCACATTTATTGATATGTATATGTTGAACCCTCCTTGCATTTCTGGAATAAAACCCACTTGATCGTGGTGTATTACATTTTTGAGGTGCTCATGGATTCAGTTTGCTAGTATTTTGTGGGAGATTTTTGCATCTGTGTTCATCAGAGATATTGTTCTGTAGTTTTCTTTTTGTGTTATATCCTTGTCTGGCTTTGCTATCAGGGTGACATTGACTTTGTAAAATGAGTTAGGGAGGATTTCCTCCTCTTCAACACATGGGAATAATTTCCGCAGAATTGGTACAAGTTCTTCTTTGTATGTTTGGTAGAATTTGGCTATGAATCCATCTGGTCCTAGGCTTTCTTTTCTTAGGAGATTTTTTATTACTGATTCAATCTCACTACTTGTTATTGCTCTGTTTAGAATTTCTGTTTCTTCGTGGTTCAATCTGGAAATAATATGTTTCCAGGAATTTATCCATTTCCTCTAGGTTTTCTAAGTGTGTGGGCATATCGTCATTCATAGCAGTCTCTGATAATCTTTTGTATTTTTATGAGATCATTCATAAGTGTGTCTTTTTTCATTTCTGATTCTTTATTTGGATTTTCTCTGTTTTTTTTGGTAAGTCTAGTGAGTGGTTTATCAATTTTGTCTTTTCAAAAACACAACTTTTCATTTCATTGATTTTTTTGTACTTTTTTTACTTCAATTTTATATAGTTCTACTCTGATCTTTGTTCTTTCTTTCCTTTTGCTAGCTTTGGGTTTGGTTTGCTTTGGTTTCTCTAGACTCATAAGGTGTAACAGTAGGTTACTAATTTGTGGTGTTTCTTTTTATGTTTGCATTTAACACTATAAACTTCCCTCTTAACACTGTTTTTGCTGTGTCCCAGATGTTCTGGTATGTTGTGTCCCCATTTTTATTCATTTCAAAAAAAATCAATTTTTATCTTAATTTTGCATTCTTCAGGAGCCTGTTGTTTAATCTCCATGTATTTGTAAAGTTTCAAGAGCACCTATTGTTATTGACTTCTCTTTTAATTCAATATGGGTTAAGAAAATATGTATTATAATTTTGATTTTCAAAAATTTATTGAAACTTCTTCTCTGACCTGAAAAAATCTATCTTGGAAGTGTTCCATGTGCTGATGAGAAAAAATGTATATATTCTGCAGTTATTGAGTAGAATATTCTATTAGGTCCATTTGGTCTAAAGTCCAATTTAAGTCCAGTGTTTCTTTGTTGATTTTCTGTGTCAATGATCTGTCTAGTGTTGTCAGTGGGGTGTTGAAGTCCCCCACTATTATCAAATTGTAAGAAGGGTATTGAAGTGTCCTACTATTATTATATTGCTATCAATTTATCATTTCAGATCTGTCAATATTTGCTATATATATTTAAGGACTCAAATGTTGGGTGCATATATTACAATGGTTATATCTTCCTACTGAATTGACCCTTTCATCATTGTGAAGTAACCTTTTAGTCTCTAAAGATAGTTTTTTTACTAAAGCGTACTTTTCTAACATAACTACAGCCATTCCTCTTTTATTTCATTTACAATTTGCATGGAATATCCTTTTCCATCTTTTCACTTTTAGCATATGTGTATCCTTGAATCTAAAGTGAGTTTCTTATAACAGCACGCAGTTGGATGTTGTTTTTAATCTAGTCATCACTCCATTATCTTTTTAATTGTAGAGCTTATTTCATATACATCTTTAATAATTATTAATAAAGATTTACTATTGCTATTTTCTTAGCTATTTATTAACTATTTGTCTTGTAGTTCTTTTGTCCCTCTTTTTCTCTTGCTGTCTTTTGTGTTTTTTTGTATTGACAGTTTGGATTACTTTATCTGTTGTGTAACTTTTATAAGTATTTTCCTTGTGGTTACCAAGGGGCTTACATAAAATATTTTATAATAGTCTATTTTAGGCTGATAACAATGTAACTTCCCTTGCATCCAAGTACTCTTCAATTTACCTCTCCTCCCGCATATTATATGCTATTGATGTAAAATTTACATGTATTTATATTACATATGCATTAACATACTTTAGTTATCATTGTCTTTAATACTTTCATCTTTTTTCTTTAATAAAAATTACTTAAAACAATTAGGATTATTTGTCTAAATTCTTTTATGAATTTATTTTATTTTTATTTTTTACTTTTAGGTTTGGGAGTACATGTGCAGGTGTGTGATATAGGTAAACTCATGTCATGGGAGTATGTTGTACAGATTATTTTTTGTCACCCAGGCACTAAGTCTAGTACCCAGTGATTATTTTTTCTGCTCCTCTCCCTCCTCCCCACCTCCACCCTCAAGTAGGCCCCAGTGTCTGTTGTTCCCTTCTTTGTGTTCATGAGTTCTCATCACTTAGCTCCCACTTATATGTGAGGACAAACAGAATTTGGTTTTCTGTTCCTGCATTAGTTTGCTAAGGATAATGACCTCCAGCTACAATTTACCTCTCCTCCCCTCACAATATATGCTATTGCTGTCAAATTTTACATATATTTGTTATGTATATATTAGCATAATTTAGTTACCATTGTCTTTAATACTTTTTAACTTTTATAGTAGAATTAAAAGTGATTTACTCATCACTATTATAGTAATATACTACTTTCTTTTGATCTATGTATTTACCTTTACCAACAAGTTTCATACTTTCCTACACTCTTGTGTTTCTGTTTAGCATCCTTTCATCTCAACTTTAAAAATTCTCTTTAGCAATTTGGTCACAACAGTGACAGAAATTGCTGGATAAGCGAAGTGCCACTGGGTTCTTTGCCCTCCCTTCACACCTTGGGATAAATCTGTATCAAGATGGTTCTTTTCTAGATTTTCTCTACCTTTCTGCACTTACCTTTCTGCTCTGAGAAGCACAGCTACCTGCCTTCACTGAAATATACCTCAGGCTGAGAGATTTGGGGTGGGAGAGCAGGTCAGTTCATCTTCTGCAGGAAGGTGCAGCTTTTCCATATCAGCTCAACCATGCCGCCAGTCCATTCTTAAGGAACTGCTGACCAGGACTGATGATGATGCATTTTAGCTTTGAGTTTTTGGGGGTTATTCTACCAATAAACAGTCTATTGGGAAGAAAACAGTCCCAGGAATTAACAGATCAGAATGTTCACACTGGTTAATCTTTTTCTAACAATGAGCATGAAAGGTAGCAGAAGCTGGTATGTTTCCAGATGGTTCTTCTAATCAAACTAATTTTTCACTGTTGACAAGTGAGGCAAGGGTTGCACTGGACCGAAGGCTGAGGCTTGGCCATCTAGCATTCCACACAAAATTGTTTCCCATAAGCATTCCTTTTATTCTCTATTCTATCCTAGGTCTGCCTCACCATGAGACAGGAAAGCCTCCAGTACTAGCTGTTGTAGCAGTGCCCTTCATCCAGGGCAGCTAAAGGAGTCTTGGACCCTTGCTTTCTCTGGGATCCCTGCCCAGCACCTTCCTACAGAGATGACTTTAAAAGGAAAAAAAAAAAAGGAAAAACAACACCCCATTCCAAGGAGTCTGGCATTCCTGAATCCTCCTTCCCTGCTAGGTGCCTGTCACCTGTCTTCACTGCCTCCTTTTCCCTGTCATGCTCATCAGCTTATGGCTTCTGTCCAAGCACCTGAACAGAGGACTAGAACCTCCACTGCACGCTGGTTTTAGGTCTTGATTTATGTCAGAATCTTGCATAGCACTGCTAATGTAAATTTCAGTTTTTTCCCTCTAAGACAAACACCAAAATATCCAACTTTTTTTGGTGGGAAGAGAGATTGTCCTGTGATTTCTATCCATTTCCTGAGGCCTGTGGAAATAAACTTCATGTACTTAAAGTTATACAGAAAATAGAATAAACTTAACACCAAACTTGAAAAAACAATTCCCTTTGGCATTTCTTGTAAAACAAGTCTAGTGGTGATAAACTCCCTTGGCTTTTATTTGCCTGAAAAAGTCCTTATCTCCCCTTCATTTTAGTAGGATAGGTTTGCTCATATAGTATTTGGGGGTGACCATTTTTTTCTTTTAGCACTTTGATTATATTACCCTACTCCCTTCTGACCTGCAAGATTTTTGCTAAAAAATATTTATTTATTTATTTATCTATTTTAATAAATCTGCTGATTGTCTTATGGCGCTCCCATGTACACAAGTTGCTTTTCTCTAGCTGCTTTCAAAATTCTCTAGCATTTGACCACTTGTATATGTTGTGCCTCTTTGCATTCATTTTATTTGGTGTCCTTTGGGCTTCCTGGAGCTGGATTACTATTTTCTTCCCTAGGTTTGGAAATTTTTCAGCCATTATTTCTTTGAATAAGCTTTCTATCCCTTCCTCTTTCTCTTCTCTCCTTCTTTAATTCAAATAATGTATACATTGTTCTGCTGAGTGGTATCCATAAGTCCCTTAAGTGATCTTCATAGTTTTTTCATTCTTTTTTTTTTTTTTGGCTCCTTTGATTAGAAAATTTCCAATGACCTGTCTTCAAATTCACTGATCATTTCTTCTGTTCTCTCTAGTCTGCTATTGAACATCTCCACTGAATTTTTCAGATCAGTTGCTGGATTCTTCAGCTCTATCACTTCTGTCTGACTTTTTTCTATCTCTGTTGAAATTCTCACATTGTTCATACAATGCTCTCCTGATCTCAGTAAGGATCCTTATGGCCATTATTTTGGATTCTTTGTTAGATAAATTACTTATCTAAATTTCATGAGGGCCAGTTTCTGGAGCTTTGTTATTTCATTTGGAACATATTTCCCTATTTCTTCATCTTCCTTGACTCTCTTTATTGCTTTTGGCATATTAGACTATAACTCTCCCAGTCTCGTCAGACTGGCCATGTGTAGGAGATGAACCTAACCAATCAGCCTGGCCAGAGATTCTGGGTGCCTCTGAAACCAGTGAGCTTGTCCAAAATCTCATCTTTGCTCTTACCGTCCCCCAGGAGATTAGGGTGTGCCAAGCCCATTCAGTGCCCCTAGAAAGTCAGTATGGAATTAAGTCCTTCAAGATGCGGCCAAAAAAGTTGAGGAGTTAGACATGTGTTCCAGTTCCTTTTCTCCTCAGGGAGAAACTGGTAGCTAATTTTATCTCACTCACTCTGCTCTAAGATGGAGAGAGGATCAGTGGCAAACATCTCCACTCTCATTCAGACCACACACTCTTTAAACCCACTGCTTTGCTTTTTGTCACCCCTGGCTTCCATCTGCTCTCAGAAACAGGTGGAATAGCTGGAGTCTTGGTTCTATCTCTTGAGTGAACCACAAGGAGGAGCTACAGAAATTTCCCACACACTCATTTAGTCTCCCAGAGAAATACAAATAGCCTGTTTCATCAGCTGCCAGATGTGAGCTAATTAAAGGCCCGACCCACAGGCAGCAGCTGGTAATGTTAGGACATTAGGTGTGTAGTCAAACCCCTTCCAGGGAGAAATTGGGAGCTAGCTGTTGTAGCCTTCTTGCTCTGCACTAGCCAGAAGGAGTAGCCACTAGAAATGTTCACACATCCATTTAAACCCACCTCTTCGTTCTATGTGGTCTCAGGGAACTCCCAAATGCCAAGAACCATTCAGCCCCAGAGCTAGGTGATTCAAGTAGCCAGCCCCTCAAGTAGGAGCTTTAAAAGCTGCATGCTTATGTGTGGATAAACTGACAAGGAGAAGCTGGAGACCTGATTTTATCACTGAAGCAGGACAGGGATAAAAAGCATGAGGAGCGCCCATACACTTATTTAAACTTCCCTAGAGGTCTACCTGTTTCATCAGCTCCCAGATGCAGGCAAGTTAGAAACCTGACCCACAGGCAGCAGCTTGGAAATTGTGCAGGCAAATCCCTTCCAGGGAGAAACGGGGATCTAGGAGTTTCTGCCTATTCACTCTGCATTAAATTCATGGGATAGCTGCTGGAAGTGCTCATGCGCCTGTTTAAATCCACATCTTTATTCTCTGTGGTCCTAGAAGACTCACAAGTGTAGAGGCCTATCAGTTCCCACAGCTAGATGATTTAGAAGCCAATCCCTCATGTAGGAGCTATAAAAGTTGGAGCACTCAATACGTGAACAAACTCCTTTGAAAGACAAGCTGAAGACCTGGTTTTATTGCTAGAGCCAGCCACAAGGAAAAGGTAGGTCTTGTATTTTTAGAAATAACCAAAGGAAACTTCTGTATTTAAATACAACAATTTTTATAATATTCTTCATATTTTTCTGCATTGCAAACTTTTCAAGAATTTATTCTGAGATTTTAAAATGTTAATAAAGTATGGATTAAACACGAGCTAAAAAAATAAGTGGATACGTGATACATAAATGTAGATGACAACATTTTTCCTGATAAAAAGAAAACTCTCACAGAGATTATAGAGACCGGAGACAGTATTTCTCAACTAAACGTAGTATTAAGGTCACCAGAAGAACTCTAAAACTATACAAGTGACTACCAACCCTACTGACTCAGATGCTAGGGACAAAAGTATGGTTTTTTTAAGTGTAATTCTAGTGCACATAAATATCCTGGGGAATGTACAGACCAAGGGGGCAGAAGGCATAACTCTCCAGCTTGGAAAGGATGAAGCAATGTATTATAATCTTCCCCAGATTCTCTTGGCTTTCTCTTTTAATCTACAAGATAAAATAAGATAAAATAGGAAAAAGAATTTACAGAGGAACTCCAGGTTTTCAAGAATAATAAGACACTATCCTGGATTAGAGTTCATATAATTAGAGAAAGTAGCAAAGCAACTAATCCTATCTGAAGAACAAAGTTTATCTTAAATTAGAAAGAGCAGTTAATGTTATATGTAGGCTTTTTGATGCAGAAAACAAAAGAAAGTACACATAAAAAATTTTGAGAGATCTTGGTGGGTTCCCTGCTGCAGTGCTCATCCTGTGCTCTCTTGTTCCCTGGGCTGTCTCCTCCGCTTGCTTTCTGGCTCTACCATGCCCTGCTCTGAAGAGACACCTGCCATTTCCCTCAAGAAGCAGGCCAGCCCTGCGGAGGAGAGTGGCATGCAGCCCCACTTTGCCTGGCTCCCTGAGCACACCGCAGACTCAACTCAGGGATCCACAGGGACCACAGACTATGACCTATACAGTGCCTATTATTATACAATACTACCTATGGACAAAGTTCTTGTGAAAACAGACATCCAGATATGTCTTGCATGTGGATGTTATGGAATAGTTGCTCTATGGTCTGGCTTGGCTGCAAAACACTTTATAGATGTAGGAGCTGGTGTCATATAAAGACTACAGAGGAAATTTTGGTGATATAATGTTTAATTTTGGCAAAGAAAAGTTTGAAGTCAAAAAAATGATTGGATTGCACAGCTCATTTATGAATGAATTTTTTATACATAAAGAGATATTCAAGACTTGGATGATACTGAAGGGGGTTCAGGAGATTTTGGTTTCACTGGAAAAAATCAAAATTTATGCCAAGAATAGTAAATGAAAAAATTATACCTTTTTCTTAAAAGTAAAGAGTTTTTGCTTAAAAAGAAAAACAAAAAAACTTAATTCCTTTTTCCTTTAAAGCAGAATTTGTCAAAATTATAATTAGTTAAATAATGCTAAATAAGAATTAAATTTGTGGGGTAGAAGGGTCTCTAATGAACACTCGACTTGAAGTTTTAGAATAAAATGTAGCTGGGTCAGAATATCAAGCCCGTTGTTTACTACCTATAAAACTTTGGTTGAATTACTTAACCTGCATGAGCTTGAGCTTCCTCAGCTTCAGAATAAAAATAAACACTAAGGATAACACTAAACATTTTATTATACCAGAAAGCAAGGAAGGAATCAAAGATTGCTTGGTTTATGTAAAAAGAACCCAGGAGCTAAATCCAAAGGCTCCCAACTATCAAAAACAGAACATATTGAGCAGCAGTAAGAATACTTATTGAAACACATATATTTAACTCTATGAATCCATAATGATAGTTTTTAAAAAATAAATGATCACCATTGGAGGATGCTAAGCAACAATTTATCTTTTGAAAAGCAATAAATTTTAAAAATCAAGCATGTATCTTGCCTTTTCTATATGTACTATACCACAGTTCCAACAGTAAACAGTTTTATTTCAACTAATAAGACTAAAATTTATAGGCTATGGCCATTCTTCAACTCCTAATAAATAATAGGTCTAGATTTTGATCATCAATGGCCACCAATATTACAAAGAGAGAGAAAACAAACATTTATGTCCCTCCTGATTTTTTTAGTACACAATACCATCTACAAAGCAGTCTTGCTGAAAGGATTGTGCATTAATCTGATTATGCCTCTAGTCTACAAATTTATAGAAAATACAAAAGACAAAGAAACATACTAAAAGACACCATTGGGAAATACTCAGAAAAGCCAGACTAGGAAATTCAAGAGAATAATAAACTTATTTTGATAAATATAATATAATGAAGAGATAGAGAGGAAGCATATGTATTTTTACAAATTAAGAACTATATCAACCAATTACAATGTATGGATCTTATTTGGATTCTGATTAAAACAAAATTTATTAAAAATATGAGGCAATTGGGAAAATTTGAACACAAAGAAGCTAGCTGAGGATATTAAACTATTTTCATTTTATAAGTATGATATTAGCATTGTGATTATGTTTGAGGTATACATATTAAAATGTTTACAGATTAAAATATATATCTGGTATTTACATCAAAATAATTGAAGAAGGAAAGTAGAAATAAAACATGGTTGACCATGAATTGAAAATTATTAAAGCTGAGTGATGGGCACATGAGGATTCATGATAATAGTCTCTCCACTTTTGTGTTTGTTTTGCATTATTCACATTAAGTTTTTTATTTTTTAAAAAAAAGGGGGTTCTGCCCCTCTCTCTTCCTGAATCCTTGCTTATACTGGCCAGGCTGCTTTTCAGTGAGAAGGCATCTGACAGAGAGCTCATTACAGCCTCTGACCATACTCACAGGAGTTGAGGAACATTGAATCTGAGGGAGAGCCTGAATTCCTACAAAAGCTCATCTCTAAGGTTTCCACCTTGAACTAGATCTGCTAAAAGACAATCATCAAAAAAGTGAGGCTAATAAAAGAGAAAAATCATACCAATGTTTTTAACGAAAAGGAAGCCGGGCGCGGTGGCTCACGCCTGTAATCCCAGCACTTTGGGAGGTTGAGGCGGGTGGATCATGAGGTCAGGAGATCAAGACCATCCTGGCTAACATGGTGAAACCCCGTCCCTACTAAAAATACAAAAAATTAGCCGGGCGTGGTGTCGGACGCCTGTAGTCCCAGCTACTCGGGAGGCTGAGGCAGGAGAATGGCATGAACCTGGGAGGCGGAGCTTGCAGTGAGCCGAGATCGTGCCACTGCACTCCAGCCTGGGCGACACAGAGAGACTCCATCTCAAAAAAAAGAAAAAAAAAAAGGAAAAAAATTGATGTCAGGAAGATGGCAGAATAGGAATTCTCTGTCTTCACTCCCCATCAACAGAAATCCAAACAATTGCTGAATCCTGTTCACATCTTTGCCTAACTAATGAGAGATCCACCTTAGGTAGCTAGCTAGAAATGCCAAAGGAAGTTAGTTCCCTAATCTGCCAAAGTTAAAATTAATTCTATCAAAGTTAAAGATGATCCTAACAAAACTGAAGTACCTACCTGATCATCTATACTGATGCTACCTTATCAATATTTGCAAAATTTTTTTCTAGCACAGAAGAAAAACGATCACAAAATGAAGGTTTTTATGGTTTGAATATGTCCTTCCAATTTTTTCTGCTGAAAATTTAATCCCCACATTCATATGTTGATGGCATTGGGAAATGGGGCTTTAGGGAGGCAATTAGGATTAGATAAAGTCATCAAGGTGGGAACCCCATGATAGGACTAGTGGCTTTATAGGAAGGAAGACAGACCTGAGCTGACATGCTCCCTTGCTCTCATCACGTGATACTTTCCACCATATTATGATATAACACAAACACCTTGCCAGATGCTTGTGCTATGCTCTTCAACTTCCCAGTCTCCAGAATCATGAGCCAAATAAACTTATTTTCTTTATAAGTTACCTAGTTTGTAATAATCAGTTATAGCAATGGGAAACAAACCTAAGACAAAGATTTTGGAGGTTCTGCATATTGTCAAGCAGAAGAAGAGAGGACATATTGCTTGAGAGCATCATAGAGGAACAAAAGCTCTGGCCAATATACATAAATAGGAAACACGCTGGGCGCAGTGGCTCAAGCCTCACTTTGGGAGACAGGTGGATTCCCTGAGGTCAGAATTTCCAGACCAGCCTGACCAACATGGTGAAACGCTGTCGCTACTAAAAATACAAAATTAGCCAGGTGTGGTGGTGCAAGCCTATAATCCCAACTACTCAAGAGGCTGAGGCAGGAGAATCATTTGAACACGGGAGGCGGAGGTTGAAGTGAGCTGAGATTGCATCATTGCACTCCAGCCTGGGCCACGAGAGCAAAACTCTGTCTCAAAAAAAAAAAAAAAAAGAAACAAATTCACATTCAACTATAAAACCTATTATCTCCCAAAAATTTCTCAAGTGGGGAAAAAGGATATGATAGAGATTGAAACCCTCTATCCCCAGAAGCCCTTCTTTTTGGCAATCCATGTAATTTATTGCTTAAGGCATTTATTGGAGACAAGTTTCTTATGGCTCTTATTTGTTTATCTCTTGAGATGAGGAATATACCTGAACTTATCAAGTCAAAGCTAATATTCACTAACTTTAGTCTTGTATTACAATAAAAATAGCTCATTAGTTTTTTTCATTTTAAAAATATTATCTATTAATTGAGTTCTCACACCTGCCTCCTGCTCCACCCCAAGTGGTAACTAGCCACTGTTAATATTTTGGTCAACATCCTTTCAGATCTCTGTCTAAGGATATACATATAGGTATGATAGAGTTTTAAATTAAATATGTTTTTATGTTTTGTTGATGACTTTTTTAAAGTTCAATAATACATTCTTCACATTTAGCACTCCATTTTAATATACATCAATATAAATGTGAAAATATAAAAGGCTAAAAATATATACCTTAGGCAGTAATTAGGATAATTAACAGAAGCAAATGTTTGGTGACTAGAAAGCATTAAATAAAATCACATATTTAAAATACTTAACACAGTGGCTATCACTTACTTAGTAGGCATTGAACCAATGACCCATTCTGGAGAAGAATCTGTATAGTATGTCTATATACTCATAAATAAGTACCACCTATTAAAAGATAGCTAGTAACAACCACCCGATGCTAAATTTGACTGGCTTTCAAAGAGATAGTAAATTCGGTGACTGAATCCTGTCCTTTCCCTCCCTAACCTCACTGAGGAAGGGAAAATACAGTCTTATTCTCAGAAAGAAATCACATCAAGATATACCTTACCTCTCAAGTTTTGAGGAATATAAAAGGACTGATGAAACATTAGAAAACAGTAGTTCTCAATGGCTGGCTAGTTGGTTAGTTTTCCTGACAGTTTGTTAGGCCAGACAGAAGGCCTGAGGCCCATTTATACCATACCTTTCCAATTTCTTACAACAAAATGATCAAAAGGAATTTGAAAAAATAATTAAAGTGGTATAAAAATCTAGGTATATCATAATTAATAGGACTTAGTCTCCATTAACCCCCAAAATAACATCAAAATAGTCTCCCAAAAATATAATTGATTTTTATGAGAACTTAATGTAAACATGCAACAAGAGATCCACTCTCAACCCTTCATGTAAACACATCTGTTGCTAATCATACGTTCAGAATCCCTTGCTTAGAGTATAGGCATAGTCATTCCATATCCTTTAATATTCTGGATTCTATAGACACTTCCAGCAGAGACAAACTCTATTAGAGCCATTAACTATAGCTATATAAAACCTTTAAGAATCAATCTCTAAATACTTATAAAAGCAAATAACAAAAAAAAAATCTAAATTTGAGTAAAAGTAAACACAGTTTCTCTGACTTTAGGCTTTTATTTAGTGCCTGTCTTCAAATGTACTTCCTCCTTCCATTTTCTTCTGTACATCAGTTTAGATGACCAATAATTTTATCTTTGTCCTTCACAAGAATTGCATTAATTGCCTTGAGACATAATTGTGGAAACATTAACTGGTTTCTTTTGGCAACATTTTATGGTAAATGTTCATTCACTGAAAGCTAAAGATATATAAATCCTGTGTATATATCTCATTTCACAAAATAAACAAAGATAGTTATATATGATTTTTTTCAGAGGCTTTAATCCGCAAATTCATTTGTTGGATGATATGCTTCTAATAAATAAACTACTAAAGACTTTTAAATTAGTCCTGAATTTTGTAGCAGTTCCATTTTGAGCTTTCATTATAATTCAAACCAAATTTATTATCTACTTATCTGGTTTATCCTGAAGCCTCTAACTTCTGGCTAAATCTTTCTCTGGTCTCTTTAAGACATATTCCTTACAAATACAACAAATTTTTATGATACAGGGGAAAATATCATAGTTCAGAACATAAATTTTTTAAAGAGAAAAACAGCTTAGGTCATGCTCCAATTTTTATTTTTCACCATCACTTTATGATCACTATGTTTTTATAACTTTCATGCAAAACAGCTGGTATTTAGCAATAATCAAATCACAACGCATAACCCCATGCAGCAGGGTACAAAAAGCACAGGTGTTACTCCATATAAAGTTTAATTTTGCAATTTACATTTTTTACAATTTACTCCAAAGAATCAAAATACAAATGAGGACAGTTGTTCTTCAAAAGGAACACCCCTAAATTATTATGAATGTGAGGAAAAATAACCTTTGCATTGGATTATAATTGTGAGCAAAAATAACTAATATAACAAGCTTGTTTTGTTACAGACTATTAAATGTGACCACTCAAGATACTTAGAGCTCAAAATTCTTTGGTAAATCATCTTTATTTTATCTGCTAATGTTTTAACTCAAAAATTGTTATTAAAAATTTTAATCTTAATAAATTCTACATTTACTGTAAAATAAAATTCTTATAACTGAGATCCATCTTGCATCCATCCAGAAAGTTTGTTATTGAAAATATTAACAAATCACTAGCTCTGAAAATAATTAAAATAATGAGGCTTGTGTATATTCTATTCAGTGATTTGATGCAATTTTCCTTTGGTGGAGTTTCTTTCACAATATTTCAATAAGTTATAAGTTCAGCCATAAAATGACTGAAACATGCTAAATATTTAATAAAATTTTTTATTATAATTTTGAGCAAAATGTCTTATAGTCAAAAACCTCTGAAGTCTACAGCTAGGACAAAACTAATGTCCTACATTAAGTGTATAGCACTTAACCCTTTACTCTCCAGAAAAATGTATAGCTGTTAGCCCTTCACTCTCCAGAAATAGAGTCTACAGCTAGGGCACTCCTACTGGAATGTTCCTAGAAGCTACGCTGAGGTAGGGAAAGCTGAGACTAGGCTGGATCACAAAAAGTCTGGGAGAGGACTAGATCATGAAGACCTGAAACAGCCAATGGGAGAATCCTAGATTATAGCAGAGAAACCAAAAGAGAACTGCCAATATAATTTTGGGACATAATGCAACAAGAAAATGTGGAATTCCTTGTTCAAAACTCACTAAGAATTTCAAGACAGCAGTGGAGGAGATTTAAATTAAGTGTTTGCATGGGGAAGGCAAGATGGCCAACTAGATGCAGACAAGTGAAACAGCTCCCATGGAGGGACTGAGATGACTGCCATGTTTTTTAACAGATCTTCAGAGGGAAGGTGCTGAAAGTGTATGGAGGAAAGACCCAGAAGCTGGGCTGAACGGAGAGAAAGCTAGGAACCCCACATGGGCTAAGAGCACCAGACTCATTTTTGAACCGCAACAGCACTGAGGGAATGGGTGAGTTAAACTGGCAAGGAGCAACCCACTCTCACCATGGGCCTTTGAAACCATGGCAGGAAGGGACCCTTCAACTACTATGGACACTTGAGGTGGCAGAGAGAGCTGCTTAGAGAAGTGGTGGGGCAGCAAGCCAGCTGAAGTAGAGCCCAGAGGATTTGATGCCAGAGCATCTGTAGTAGAACACAGCCAGGGACAGCCATCCCTCTAGGCTTGATTTGCTCCCATAAGAGACTTTAGCCCTAGGAGAACTGTCAGACTTGATCTGTTCAGGGAAGTCTTGGAAATCAGACGGGCCTGGTCTGACCTGAGCAACCCTTGGTCTGCTGGCCTCTCTCAGGGCCCAGCCTGGCCATGCCTGTTAACAGGGCAGTTTTGAATGCTCTGGGAGCCCACACCATAGCTTCTGCACAGGTGGACCATGCCCGAACACTGGATAGCTCCAGAGAGGCAGCCCTTACAGCCATACACCAGCCCACATACTCCCTCCCCATACGGCAGCTTTCCCCCAGAGCCCATGGCAACTCCCCACGTCACTTTGCTGGTATGTGTCTGCACAGGCAGGTTTTGTTTTACTTGCAACACCAGCACATGTGAGTGAAGTCTGCTTTGCCCCCCCCCAAATAAACAGCTATTGCAGAGGAAGCCTTGGCAGGCACAGAGCCAACAAGCCCCACCACCACCAGCACCACACCCTAGTGCTAACACTGCACAGAGAACTCCCACACCTTGAGTGATCACTCCTGCTTGTGGGGGACAGAGAAGGCACCCAGAGCTCTCCAGCCAGTACCCATCCCCAAGCCAACACCACCTCCAGTGCAACAGCACACAGTCTCCAGCAGAGGCCCCCTGCTTCCCCGCCAGCTGCCAGGCCTCCACCACTGTGGTGAATGCCCACGAGGAAGAAGGAACTCCTGCATCAGCTAGCACTTTGCTGCACCTTGGTGCCCCCAGCGCAGTGAACTCTAAGCCTCAACAAGCCAGAGAACAAAGTCGGGGACCAATACAAGTTCCCCAGAGTTAGAGCACACCATCCAGAGGTTGGGAGCTGTGTGCTGGCCCCCTAATATCTCCCATAAATGAAGCCATATCTACCTTATACCATCAAACCCTCCAGGTCATCAAAAAGGAAAAAAAAAACACACACATCCAAAGGTCAGCAACTGATATAGTTTGGCTCTGTGTGCCCACCCAAGTCTCATCTTGAATTATGATCTTCAGTGTTGGAGGAGGGGCCTGGTAGGAGGTGGTTGGATCATGGGGGCAGACTTCCCCCTTGCTGTTCTCATGATAGTGTGTAGGTTCTCATAAGATTTGGTTGTTTAAAAGTGTGTAGCACTTGCCTCTTTACTCTCTCTCTCTCCCGCCACTCTACCATGTGAAGAAGGTGCTTGCTTCCCCTTCACACTTCTATCATGATTGTAAGTTTCCGGAGGCCCCCCCAACCATGTGTCCTGGATAGCCTGTGGAACTTTGAGTCAGTTAAACCTCTTTTCTTCATAAATTAACCAGTCTCAGGTAGTTCTTTACAGCAGTGTGCAGAATGGACTAACACAGTAGGCAACCTCAAAGATTGAAGGTAGGTAAGCCCACAAAGATGAGAAAGAATCAGCTGAAGAATGCTGAAAATTCTAAAAGCCAGAGTGCCTTCTTTTCTCCAAATAACCACATCACCTCTCCAGCAAGGATTCAGAACCAAGCTGAGGCTAAGATGGCTGAAATGACAGAACTAGAATTCAGAATATGGATAGGAATGAAGTTAATTGAGCAACAGGAATACATTGAAACCAAATGCAAGGAAGCTAAAAACCATAATAAAACAATGCAGGAGCTGACAGACAAAATAGCCAGTATAGAGAAGAACATAGCCAACATGATAGAGCTGAAAAACACACTACAAAAATGTCATAATGCAATCACAAGTATTAATAGGAAAATAGACCAAGTGAAGGAAAGAATCTCAGGGCTTGAAGACTTGCTTTCTAAAATAAGCCAGGCAGACAAGAATAGAGAAAAAAAGAATGAAAAGGAATGAACAAAACCTCTGGGAAATATGGGATATTGTAAAGAAATGAAATATATGACAGATTGGTGTCCCCAAAAGAGAAAAGAAGAATGGAACCAACTTGGAAAACATAGGACATCATCCATGAAAACTTCCCCAACCTAGCTAGAGAGGCCAATATTCAAATTTAGGAAATGCAGAGAACCCCAGTAAGATATTCATAAGAAGATCATCCTCAAGACACATAATCATCAGATTTTCCAAGGTGGAAATAAAAGAAAGAATGTTAAAGGCAGCTAGAGAGAAAAGTCAGGTCATCTACAAAGGGAAGTCCATCAGACTAACAGCAGACCTCTCAGGTGAAACTCTAAAATCCATAAGAGATCAGGGGCCAGTATTCAACATTGTTAAAGAAAAGTAATTCTAACCCAGATTTTCATATCTAGCCAAACAAAGTTTCAAAGTGAAGAAGAAATAATATTCTTTTCAGACAAGCAAATGCTGAGGGAATTTGTTACCACCAGACCTGCCTTACAAGAGTACCCAAAGGAGCTCCTCTGGTATTAAATATGGAAAGGAAAGACCATTACCAGCCACTACAAAAACACACTGAAGTACACAGACCAGTGACACTCTGAAGTAACCACATATACAAGTCTTCAAAATAATCGGCTAACATCATGATGGCAGGATCAAATCTGCACACATAAACTAACCTTGAATATAAACAGGCTAAACTGCCCAATTTAAAGGCACAGAGTGGCAAGCTAAATAAAAAAGCAAGATCCATTGGTATGCTGTCTTCAAGAGACTCATCTCACACACAGTGACACACATAGGCTCAAAATACAAGGATGGAGGAAAATCTACCAAACAAATGGAAAACAGAAGAAAGCAGGGGTTGCAATCCTAATTTCAGACAAAACAGACTTCAAACCAATAAATATCAAAAAATACAAAGAAGGACATTACATAATGGTAAAGGGTTCAATTCAGCAAGAAGACCTAACTATCCTATATATACAGGTACCCAATGCAAGAGCACCCAGATTCATAAAGCAAGTTCTTAGACACCTACAAAGAGACAGAGACATTCTCAAATAAAAATAGTGGGAGACTTCCTACACTCCATTGACAGTATTAGACAGTTCATTGAGACAGAAAATTAACAAAGACATTCAGGACCTGAACTCAACATTGGACCAAATGGATCTAGTACATGTCTACAGAACTCTCCACCCAAAAACAACAGAATATACATTCTTCTAATCACTCCATGGCACATACTCTAAAATTGACCATATCATTGGACTTAAAACTTATAATCCTCAGCAAGTTCAGAAAAACCAAAATCATACCAATAGCACTAAATGCCCACATCAGAAAGTTTATTAAGATCTCAAATTAACAACCTAAAGAATCGCATCTGAAAGAATTAGAAAATGCAAGATCAAATCAACCACAAAGCTAGCAGAAGACAAAAAAAAAAAAACAGAGCTGAACTGCAGGAAATCAAGACATGAAAACCCATTCAAAAGATTAATAAAACCAGGGCTTGTTTTTTTTGAAAAAATTAGTAAGATAGATAGGCCGCTAGCTAGACTAATAAAGAAAAAATAGAGAGGATCCAAATAAACATAATTAAAAATGATGAAGACAATGTTACCACTGATGCCACAGAATTAAAAATAAACATCAGAAACTACTATGTACACCTTTGTGCACACAAACTAGAAAACCTAGAAGAGACGGATAAATTTCTGGACATACACACCCTCCCAAGACTGGAGAGAGGGTGAAATTCTCTAAGAAGAAATTGGAGTTTTCTTCTCCAAGAAGAAAATTCCTCCAAGAAGAAACTGATTTCCTGAACAGACTGAAAATGAGCTCCAAAACTGAATCAGTAATAAATAGCCTACCAATAAAAAAAAGCTTAGTACCTGATGGATTCACAGCCAAATTCTACCAAATTTACAAAGAAGAGTTGGTACGATTCCTATAGAAACTATTCCCAAATATTGAGGAAAGACTCCTCCCCCAAATCATTCTATGAGGCCAATATCATCCTCATACCAAAACCTGGAAGAGACACAACAATGAAAGAAAATTTCAGGCCAATATCTTTGATGAATATCAATGCAAAAAAAAAAAAAAAATCCTCAACAAAATACTGGCAAATGGGATCCAGAAGCACATCAAAGGGCTAATCTACCATGATCAAATAGGCTTCATCCCCAGGATGCAAGGTTGATTCAACATACACAAATCAATAAATATGATTCATCACATAAACAGGATGAAAGACAAAAACCATATGATTATCTCAATAGATACAGAAAAGGCTTTTGATAAAATTCAATACCCCTTTGTGTTAAAAACTCTCAATAAACTAGATATTGAAGAAACATCCCTAAAATAATAAGAGCCATCTATGACAAACCCACAGCCAATATTATACTGAATAGGCAAATGCTGGAAGCATTCTCCTTGAAAACCAGCACAAGACAAAGATGAACTCTCTCACCACTCCTACTCAACATATTACTGGAAGTCCTAGCCAGAGCAATCAGGCAAAAGAAAGAAATAGAGGGCATCCTCTCTTCAAATAGGAAGACAGGAAGTCAAACTATCTTTGTTTGCAGATGACATAATTCTATATCTATAAAACCCCAGTCTCAGCCCAAAACTGCCTTTAGCTGGTAAACAACTTCAGCAAAGTTTAAGGATACAAAATCAATGTGCAAAAATCACTAGCATTCCTATACACAACAACAGCCAAACCAACAGCCAAATCAGAAAGTCAATCCCATTCAGAACTGCCACAAAAAGAATAAAATACCTAGGAATACAGCTAACCAGGAAGGTGAAAGATCTCTACAATGAGAGCTACAAACACTGCTCAAGGAAATCAGAGAAAACACAAACAAATGGAAAAACATCCCATGCTCACGGATATGGAGAATCAATATTGTTAAAATGGCCATACTGCCCAAAGCAATTTACAGATTCAATGCTATTCCTATCAAACTACCGAAGACATTATTCACAGAACTAGAGAAAACTATTTTTAAATGGTATGGAGTCAAACAAGAGCCCGAATAGCCAAGGCAATCCTAAGCAAAAAGAACAAAGCTGGAGGCAACACACTACCCAAATTCAAACTATACTACAGGGCTACAGTAACCAAAACAGCATGGCACTGGTACAAAAACAGGCACATAGACCAATGGAACAGAATAGAGAGGCCAGAAATCAGACTCCACCACCTAAAACCACCTGATCTTCTGCAAAGCTGACAAAAACAAGCAATGGGGAAAAGACTCCCCTTTTCAATTAATGGTACTGAGATAACTGGCTAGCCTTATATAGAAGACTGCAACTGGACCCCTTCCTTTTGCCATATACAAAAACTAACTCAAGATGGATTAAAAACTTAAATGTAAAATCCAAAACTATAAAAACCCTGGAAGACAACCTAGACAATACCATCCAGTACATAGGAATGGGCAAAGATTTCATGACGAAGATGCCAAAAGCAATTGCAATAAAAGCAAAAATTGACAAGTGGGATCTAATTAAACTTAAGAGCTTCTGCACAACAAAAGAAACTATGAAAAGGGTAAACAGACAACCTACAGATGGGAGAAAATATTTACATACTATGCATCTGACAAAGGTCTAATATCTAGCATCTATAAGGATGCTGTATTAGTTTGTTCTCACACTGCTATAAAGAACTACCTGAGACTGGGTAATTTATGAAGAAAAGAGGTTTAATTGACTCACAGTTTCACAGGCTGTACAGGAAGCATAGCCAGAAGACCTCAGAAAACTTGCAATCATGGTGAAAGACAAAAAGGAAGAATGCATCTTCTTCACACTGCAGAGCAGGAGGAAGAGAGAGAGTGAAGGGGAAAGTGCCACACACTTTTAAACCACCAGCTCTCATGAGAACTAACATGAAAACAGTGAGGGGGAAATCTGCCCCCATGATCCAATCACCTCCCACCAGGTCTCTCCCCTAACATTGGGAATTACAGTTTAGCATTATATTTGGGTGGGTACTCAGAGCCAAACCATATCATAACTTAAACAAATTTACAAGAAAAAAAAAATTTTAAAAAGTGAGCAAAGTACATGAACAGACAAGTCTCAAAAGAAGACATACATGCAACCAACAATCAAATGAAAAAAGCTCAGTATCACTGATCATTAGAGAAATGCAAATCAAAACCACAATGAGATACCAATCTCACACCTGTCAGAATGGCTAGTATTAAAAAGTCAAAAAATAACAGATGTTGGTGAGGTTGTGGAAAAAAGGGAACACTTATACACTGTTGGTGGGAGTATAAATTAGTTCAAACACTATGGAAAGCAGTATGGTGATTGCTCAAAGAGCTAAAAGCAGAACAGTCATTTGACCCAGCAATCCCATTGCTAAGTATATACCCAGAGGAATATAAATGATTCTACCATAAAGACACATGTACATGAATGTTCACTGCAGCACCATTCACAAGAGCAAAGACATGGAATTAACCTAAATGCCCATCAATGACAGATTGGTTAAAGAAAATGTGGTACATATACACCATGGAATACTATGCAGCCATAAAAAAGAACAAGATCATGTCTTTTGTGGGAACATGGATGGAGTTGGAGGCTATTATCCTCAGCAAACTAATGCAGGAACAGAAAACCAAATACCATGTGTTCTCACGTATAAGTGGGAGCAAAATAAGAATTTATGAACACAAAGAAGCAAACAACAGACACTGCTGTTTGTCTAGTTGTAGGTGGAGGGTGGGAGGAGGGAAAGGAGCAGAAAAGACAACTATTGGGTACTGGGCTTAATTCCTAGGTGATGAAATAATCTATGCAACAAACCCCCATGACATGTTTACCGATGTAACAAACTTTCGCATGTACCCCAGAACCTAAAATAAAAGTTGTATAAAAAAACAAAAAAACTTGTATTTGGAATAAAGATATAATAGTCGAGAATCCTTCACAGGGGAAAACATAACTTCAAAATAGGTAACACAAAAACTGTTGGAAATACAAAAGAAAATTCACATATACAAGATTATTTGGGAGATATCCACAACTTTTTCAACCTTTCACAGATACAATTTAGAAATTTTATAATATAAAAAATAAGATTAAATTATTAGATTGGTGCAAAAGCAATTGCAGTTTTTGCCGTTACTTTGAATTAAAAGAAGATGATGGTAACTATATAATTAAAAGTAATGGCAAAAACCGCAATTACTTTTGTACTAATCTAATAATATACCACTTCAAGCATCCATTGGATATTAATTAAATTAAGTATATTTCAAGCCACAAAGAAGAATTCATTAAACTGCCTAAAGTAGTAATTATATAGTTATTATCTTCTTTTTTTAATTTTATAAAAATTTGTTGTAAAGACTAGGTCTTACCATGTTGCCCAGGCTGGTCTCAAACTCCTCAGCTCAAGTGATCCTCCCACCTCAGCCTCCCAAAGTGCTAGGATTACAGGCATGAGCCAGCACACCAGGCTTCATCTTCTAACACAGTAAAACCAGAAATAACAAAGTTTCTTTTTAATATCAAAAAATACAACCTCTTTGAAAATGAAAAAGTCTTATATATACCTATTGTTTAAAAAAAATCAATCTAGGCTGGGCACGGTGGCTCACGCCTGTAATCCCAGCACTTTGGGAGACCTAGGTGGGCGGATCACAAGGTCAAGAGATCAAGACCATCCTGGCCACCACAGTGAAACCCCGTCTCTACTAAAAATACAAAAATCAGCTGGGCATGGTGGCACATGCCTGTAGTCCCAGCTCCTCAGGAGTCTGAGGCAGGAAAATTGCTGGAACACGGGAGGTGGAGATTGCAGTGAGCTGAGATCACACCGCTGCACTCCAGCCTGGTGACAGAGCAAGACACCATCCCAAAAAAAAAAAGTCAATCTAAAGTAAAACATTTAAATAACACTGAAAATAAAATCACAACCTATCAAATTTTATACAATGTAGCCAAAACTATTCCAAGACATTAAATCATAGAATTGTACTTTTATGGAAATAATGAAAAAGCATTCAAGTTAAGATGTTTAAAGCAGGAAAAAGAAAATGATAAGAATAAATCTCTAAAATTAAGCAATTGGTAAGTAAATTCACCACTTTGAGGGAAAAAAATATAGACAAGTCTATATCAAAATAAAATAATAATAACAAAAATGACAATAAAAAAATGACAAGAAGCCCAGGAACAGTGGTTCACACCTGTAATCCCAGCACCTTGGGAGGCCGAGGTGGGAGGATCTCTTGAGTCCAGGAGTTTGAGACCAGCCTGGGCAACACAGTGAGACTACGTTTCTACAAAAAAAATATATTTTTAATTAGCTGGGTGTGGTGGTGTGCACATGGGTAACAGAGTGAGACCCTGCCTCAAAAAAAAGACAAGTAGAAGAAAACAGAAACCACGAATAAACACAATTTTAGGAATGAGAAAGGTGATATAATAAAAGATATGGAAGTTTTTAAACATCTAACTCTATATAAAGCTATGCTAATAAAAATGAATATATTAAATTGAATATTCTAGGAACAACTTTCTAAAACTGCTTCAAAATTAAGTAGGAAAATCTGATTAAACAAAAAATAGATGTAAAAGTTAAATTATAAAAGTCAACAAATAATTCAAAAATGATTTCAGTAAGAAAATTTTGCCACGAAGCTCTCTGAAATGTTCATGAAGTTACCTAATTTATTTTATGAAATAAACAACTTTGACACCATAGTTTGACATTCTTGTTATCGCTACTACAGACTAATATCACAGGCGCAAAAATCCAAATAAAACACAGACTTCAGCTGCATAACATCATTAATTCTTTCCTAAAAAGTAAATGTTCTGTGCTAAAAACAGTTATAATCTATCATACATCAACCTGAAACCTACATTTTTGTGTAGTGACTAAGACCCTATATGTAACAAACTATATTTAAGATGTAAAATGTTAAAACAGATTCCTTATATTCAAACAATTTCCTTTTCCTGCACATCATCTTGTTTAAAACTTCATATTGGGTTTAGAGGATATACATTATATGGCTTTCAGGTATTCATAAACATGAGGCATTCTCTACTGGGAAAACAATAACCTGGCAGACCTTCTTCAAGAAAGTTGCATACTTGCAAAATAAATTCAGCGGTATATTGTCTACCATCATTCAGTAATTCAAGAGTGGCTTAATGTTAGAAAATTTCTCAATGTATCTGTCTTGTCAGTAGGTTTAGTGAGATTCATGATTCAACACATGATGACCTTATTAGATAACAAAAAAACACAAAACATACATTCCAAATTAAAAAATTTTATAAAATCAGTACTAAAAGTTTATTTATTTATTTATTTTAGATACAGGGTCTCACTCTGTCACCCAGACTGGAGTGCAGTGGTGCAAACATAGCTCATTGCAGCCTGAAACTCCTGGGCTCAAGCCTTCCTTCCACCTCAGCCTCCCCGGTAGCTGGAACTACAAGTGCATGCCACTAAGACCAGCTAATTTGAAAAGGTATTTTTTAAAGGAAGGATATTCATCTTAAACAAGAAGCAAACCTTATGCTTAATGGGAAAAACTAAAGGCATTCCCATAAAAAAGAGAATAAATGCCAGATAACACCATTATTATTTAATATTATCTATGCTATAATTTCTATTCAAGGCAACAAAATAGGAAACCAAACATAATACTGACAAGGGTGGAAGGCAAATTACCATTTTAATGACAGGATTATCTAGAAAAGCTAAGATAATAATTTAAATATTTCTTAAAATTAAGAAAAAATAGTTTGTAAGGGGTCCAGTAACTGGATAATTATATAAAATAAAATCTTTTTTCTATACCACTTATAGCCACTTAGAAGTTATAACGACAATAAAAAATAGATTTCTTCCACAATAGCCCTGCCCAATATTCACTGCATGAACAATTCAAATAGCCCAGAAACTGATCCTAATGTATATTAGAGTTTAATACATGTGAATGAACATCACAAACAAATAAGATATTAACTTATTCAAAATTGACTTCTGTTTGAATTAGCGAGGAGCCAGACTCACTCTTTTCAACTATACTTGAACAATAGAGACTGTGAGGCTATCACTGCAACAACCACCTTGCCACCATAAGGAAAAATCCAATCTATGAATAAAACAAGTACAGAAGAGGTTCCCAGAAGTGAAAGAGAAAAACCCAGATCCTGATGACTTCTTCGGGTCCTGAAACAGGGCCTGAGCTAAATTTATCCAAAAATTTACCAATAAATTTCCTTTATATTTAAGATGGACTAAGCTCATTTCACTGTCACCTGATACACCTACCAAGTATATATCTTGATACACCTACCTAGAGAAGTATATTCTAGGAACAACTTTCCAAAATTGCTTCAAAATTAAGTAGGAAAATACATATTTTAATAATTTAACATCATTAAATTTAATAATTTAATGATATACCTATCAAGTAGGTATATCAAATATGTATATTATATATACCTATCAAGGCTGAGAGAAGTTTGTTTCATATATCAAAAATATATTGTTTATAATATATTTAAACATATAACCTATCTAAGTATGTAAAGTACTTTAGTGGCTAAAAATTTTACAAAATTACATATTTAGCAAATGTCATCCAACCTGACTCTCATAAAAGGAAAATTCAGTATGGGATATAGTATGTATTAATGCATAAGTTATTTGTCAAAACATAAAGAGAAAAGTCACACTTTAATATTTATTCTATTTGGAAAAGAGCTTGGCTGGACATTGTGGCTCACAACTGGGAGGCTGAGGCGGGTGGATCACCCAAGGTCAGGAGTTTGATACCAGCCTGGCCAACATGGTGAAACTCCATCTCTAATACAAATACAAAAATTAGCCAGGTATGGTGGTGCATGCCTATAATCCAAGCTACTCGGGAGGCTAAGGCAGGAGAATCGCTTGAACCTGGAAGGCAGAGGTTGCAGTGAGCTGAGATCGTGCCACTGCACTCCAGCCTGGGCAACAGACAGAGACTCCATCTTTAAAAAAAAATAAAATAAAAAAAGAGCTTATGTCACATTCCCTTACCCATATCTAACAAGAAAATATATCTTAATCTGTAGGAACACTGAAAAAAGACGGCAAAAATGACAGTAAATATATACTTCTTTCTACCAGAGCAACTACTGTTGTTTGTGAGTCAAAAAGATGTAATATCCATAAATCACTTTCACTATTAAGAGTACTGTATGTATTCAAATTGCCTAATTCATTTTCTCTACCTGTAACTGTTCGAGTGACTGCTTTATTTATTTACAAGCTTATTATTTCTGACAATCAATATCAGTTATGGTTCTTTTTATTAAATATATAATATGTATTCAGAAACACAGAGAAATCCAATTCTCTTTTTAAGAGGTTGGCATTTATGGATGTCAAAAGACTCAACATTCAAACATGGCCTCATCAATTAAAACAACACATCGAGAAAATGTTTCTAACATTTAAACATGGCCTCATCAACTAAAACAACACATTCAGAAAATGTTTCCTTCTCACCCCTCTCATTTTTAGAAATCTAAACAATTAGTGTAGTTCTCTAAGAGTCAATCATTCTCTTTATATGAAAACACTTACACAGTGGAAAATTAAAAGTATATGTGGTTATTAGAGAGAGGTAGGCTTTTTACAGAAAGCAATGCTGGAACTGTACCTTAGAAGAGTGATTGATAAAGCTCTGAAACTCCTCAATGTAAACACTAAAAAAATTATTTGAGCTTGAAGTAAACTTACAGCAGAAATATGGATATAGTTCCTATATATTCAATTTTAAAGAAAATGCCAATCCAATGAGCCAACCAGGGTTATTTAGCTATTAAAGATAAGTATTTAAATGATTTAACCTTTTGAACAGTATTGCTGATTATTATACAGCCAGAAGCCAGAGAGCCTGTGCTTCTGATACTAAAATAAGTTAATGTCTTAACAGGCTTTCAGATAATATCAAGATTTATTTGCTTCGTAAAGTTTTTGGAGCAGGAAAGGAATGCAATATCAATATGAAAAATATGTTTAATGTCTTACTTTATATCTTGAAAGAACTCTCACCCAGATAATGTATTGTTTGTACTAAATTATTAGGCATAAAGTTAAAAGAGACGAAGGATAGGGCTAATATGTTTTTTAAAGGTTTCAACAATAAGCACTGAAACAAAAGCAGTTTTCTGATAAACATGTATCTTTAAACTTAGTTTTGGTGGTTGAAGTCTTGCTCATATCATGCTTTATTGGTTATTATAAAAAAGAACCCTCTCATTCTTAAGTCTCTGTAGTAAGATATTTTTCTATCATTATCCCAAATCCCATCTGTCACTTATCATTGAGTTAGAAGAAAACAAAAGCAGGGTTATTTTTTTTACTTCTCTGATAAATTTTCCTGATTGTGTATCCTAGATGACCCAGGCGTCCAAACCTAATCTTTATTTCACAAAAAGTTGTTGGTTTTTCAAAGTAATTCATAATCTTTTGTATACCTCCTTTTTGTATGAACATCAAGTAACATCCAGGCTGTGCTCCCTTGGCTATCCTATCCCCCTTGCCACCACAGGGCCTTTGATGTTCCCTCTACCTGGAACACACTTTCCTTACCTCTTCCTCTATTTCAAGTTCTCCTTGAGATCTCAGTTCAAACATCACTTCTAAAGAAGAGCTTTCTTTTCCTTTTCTTTGACTAGGTCAAATTCCTTTATTTAAACTCTAAAAACCCTAGAGTATCCCTTCTTAGCATTTGTTTCTGTGATGCTTTTTTGCTAGATTGACAATAAACCTCTAAGGACAGAGACTACATGTACATTTGTTCACCATTGTATCTCCAGAGGTTAACAGAGTACCTAGGATTTGTTAGAAGCTTATTAAATATCTGTTGAATAAATTATTGAATGAAACGCAAGTATTTAAAAATGACCACTAATCTGAATTGCTCCTGAGTTTCATGATAATATTAAAATGAACCAAAATCAGGAGAAGAAAATTATCCATTTCTTCCCTTAGACATGTTTAGGGGCTCTCTGGGTCCAGACTCAAACAATGTGTTCCAGAAGTTGTGTGTAGGAGTGTAAGTACAATCATGAATCACTTAACGATGGGAATACTTACTGAGAAATGTGTCGTGAGGTGATTTCATCATTGTGCAAACATCATAGAGTGTACTTACACAAACCAAGATGGTATAACCTACTACACACCTAGGCTATACAGTATAGCCTATTGCTCCTAGGCTATAATCCCAAACAGCAGGTTACTGTACTTAATACTGTGGGCAATTGTAACACAATAGTATTTGTGTATCTGAACATACCTAAACATAGAAAAAGTACAGTAAAAATACAGTATTATAATCTTATGGGACCATCATCATACGTGCAGTCCATTGTTGACCAAAATATCATTATGCAGCACAAGACTGTAGGGTGACAACCACTTTATGCCACTGAATTTCAGAATTTAAGTAACCAAACATTTTTACATTTTTAAAAATGTATTAAAATGTATAAATAAAGATATGAGTATGTTTGTGCAATTTAGTATAATGGATCATCTATATAAATATATTGATCATAAGCTGTAAAACACTTGCACTGTACTATCTAATTTATTATTCTTCATAGGAGAATTTGGTGTTCCACATACATATATTCTATACATAATTGAAAAGAGTCATTTAAATAATTGTTTTTAAGTTTTTTTAGACATCGAGTAGTAATTATCTTAGAAATGACTGATATGCAAACTTTTACGCCACAATAAATAACTGTAGGAAACTATATTTTAATTTTTGTATATATTATTTATAAAGTTTTGCCTTTTCCCCATCTGTCATCATGATTTGTTGCAATTAGTGTGCCCTTAATCAGCAATTTTAATTGTCTGTGTGCTGGGATATCAGAAAGTTTGTTGACAGATGCCTAAAGAGCAGTAAGTCCTAACGGCCCCTCTTAAGCTAAAAAAAGCATGAAAAATAGAGGCAAAAACGTGTGCTGCTTACAGAACAGAGTTTGAGTTCTAACTGTTGAGAGACAATTCTCCATGAATCTCTCACATTTCCATACACATCTAGACATTAACAGTCAACATGCTCCAGGATTTTCTTTTCAAGATTTGTATAAGCAGATGGCCCTAGAAAGATGAAGACAGTAACTTACGGCACATATTTATTCATGTTCTCAGATAGTAAATATAGAGACACCACCTCCACCAAAAGCATTTAAGGGTAATGAAAGTAAAAATACCTACCTCCACTTCCAAGGGTAGAAGTGCTACATTCCAGGTTAATAAAGATAGTATGTCATTCCCTGGAAGTAAGGATGGGCAGGTTTGCCAGCAGCTCTGATATAAAACGAGAGTCAGAGGTACAAAAAAGAGCTAGTACCATTTCTACTGAAACTATTCCAAAAATTGAAAAGGAGGGACTCCTACCTGACTCATTTTATGAGGCTACCATCATCCTGACACGAAAACCTGGCAGAGATGTAACACAATATTCTTGATGAACATCAATGCAAAAATTCCTCAAAAAAATACTACCAAATCAAATCCAGCAGCACATCAAAAAGCTTATCGACCACAATCAAGTTGGCTTCATCCTCAAGTTGCAAGGTTAGTGCAACATACACAAATCAATAAATGTGATTTATCACACAAACAGAATTAAAGGCAAAAACCACATGATTATCTCAACAGACACAGAAAGGGCCTTCAATAAAATTCAACATCCTTCATGTTAAAGCCTCTCAATAAACTACATATTGAAGGAACATACCTCAAAATAATAAGAGAAATATATGACAAACCCATAGCAAATATCATACTGAATGGGCAAAAGCTAGAGGCATTCCCCTTGAAAACTGGCACAAGACAATGATGCCCTCTCTCACCACTCCTATTCAGCATAGTATTAGAAGTTCTGGCCAGGGCAATATGGCAAGAGAAAGAAATAAAGGGTATTCAAATAGAGAGAGAGGATGTCAAATTATCTTCGCAAATGACATAATCCTATATCTAGAAAAACCCATCATCTCAGCCCAAAACCTTCTTAAGCTGATAAGCAACTTCAACAAAGTCTCAGGATACAAAATCAATGTGCAAAATTCACTAGCATTCCTAGAAACCAACAACAGGCAAGCAGAGAGCCAAATCATGATTGAACTCCCAATCACAATTGCTACAAAATAGAATAAAATACCTAGGAATACAGCTAAGAGAAGTAAAGGACCTCTTCAAGGAGAACTACAAACCACTGCTTAAGGAAATCAGATATGACATAAACAAATGGAAAAAATTCCATGCTCATGGATAGGAAGAATCAATATCATGAAAACATCCATACTGCCCAAAGTAATTTACAGATTCAATGCTATTCCCATTAAACTACCATTTACATGTTTAGGGGCTCTCTGGGTCCAAACTCAAACAATGAACTCTAGAAGTTCTTCTAATTCTTCAGAGAATTAGAAGAAACTATTTCAAAATTCATATGGAACCAAAAAAAAGCCCAAATAGCCAAAGAAATTCTAAGTAAAAAGAACAAAGCTGGAGGCATCATGCTACCCGACTTCAAACTATACTACAAGACTACAATAACCAAAACAGCATGGTACTGGTACAAAAACAGACTCATAGACAAATGAAACGTAACAGAGAAGTCAGAAATAAGACTGCATACCTACAACTAACTGATCTTCAGCAAAACTGACAAAAACAAGCAATGGGGGAAATGATTCCCTATTTAATAAATGGTGCTGGGAGAACTGGCTAGCCATACGCAGAAAATTGAAACTGGGCCCCTTCCTTACACCTTATACAAAAATTAACTCAAGATGGATTAAAGATTTACATGAAAACCCAAAACTATAAAAATCCTAGAAAATCTAGGCAATACCATTCAGGACATAGGCACAGGCAAAGATTTCATGATGAAAATGCCAAAAGCAATTGAGACAAAATCAAAAATTGACAAGTGGGATCTAATTAAACTACAGAGCTTCTGCACAGCAAAGGAAACTATCATCAGAGTGAATAGACAACCTAAAGAATGGGAGAAAAATTTTGCAATATATCGATCTGACAAAGGTCTGATATTCAGCGACTACAAGAAACTTAAATTTACAGGAACAAAACAACTCCATTAAAAAGTGGGCAAAGGACCTAAACAGACACTTCTCAAAGGAAGACATTCACGTAGTCAACAAACATATGAAAAAAAGCTCAACATCACTAATCATTAGAGAAATGCAAATCAAAACCACAGTGAGATACTATCTCATGCCAGTCAGAATGGCAATCATTAAAAAGTCAAAAAAACAACAGATGCTGGCAAGGTTGTGGAGAGAAAAGAATACTTATACACTGTTGGTGGGAGTGTAAACTAGTTCAACCATTGTGGAAAACAGAGTGGCAATTCCTCAAAGATCTAGAGGCAGAAATACCATTTGACCCAGCAATCCCATTACTGGGTACATACCCAAAGGAATGTAAATCATTCTATTACAAAGACACATGCACGTGTATGTTCACTGCAGCACTATTCACAATAGCAAAGATATGGAATCAATCCAAATGCCCATCAATGATAGACTGGATAAAGAAAACGTTGTTACATATATACCACAGAATACTACACAGCCATAAAAAGGAACAAGATTATGTCCTTTGCGGGACATGAATGGAGCTGGAAGCCATTATTCTCAGCAAACTAACACAAGAACAGAATACCAAACATCGTATGTTCTCACTTTCAAGTGGGAGCTAAACGATGAGAACAAATGGACACATGGCAGGGAACAACACACACTGGGGCCTGTGGGGTGCAGAGAGGGACAGCATCAGGAATAACAGCTAATGGATGTTGGGCTTAATACCAAGGCGATGGGTTGGTCTGTGCAGCAAACCACTTGTTTACCTATGTAACAAACCTGCACATCCTGCACATGTACCCCAGAACTTACAATAAAAGTTGAAGGGAAAATAATAAAATAAAATAAAATAAAATAAAATAAAATAAAATAAAATAAAACAAAACAAGAGTCCACTAATTTCAGTAATTCTCTCCTATAATGCATCCCCAACTGTGTGTGCAGACAACATTTGACCCTATTCACATTGTCCCATTAGGCTAGGAGATCAGGAAACCAGAGCCAAGATGTTACTATTGCTGTATTAAACTGTCTAAATCCATTTGGGCTTATTATCTCCTTATCAGCCAAATCTGTGGAAGAGTAGCAAGCCAACCTAGCAGCTCTAAACACACTACTACTTTGAACCTGCTTTATTGCTTGACCTTAGTTCCACACGTATTAGTCGTGCGAGGTTGAGCAAGCTATTTAATCTCTTTATCTCAAGTAATCTCATTTGTAACGTGTACAATAATACCTCAAAAGACTGTTGTGAAGAATGAATGCTATATATGAGACGCAGGTGGTTAAAATGCCTGAAAAACGTGGTGGTTATCACAGGTATTATTATTTATTTATTCATTCATTCATGCTGCTTAAGGAGTTTTTTTATACTTATTTGCAGATGTCTTGCTATGTTTCACATAGTTAATACTGCTAGATAAAAGAGGTATTAGAATTTTTTCCACTTGTCCTGTCTTGTACATTAATATAAAACACATATTTAAAAATTATTTCTCCTACTCCTTTGTAATCCAGTCATAGAGTCTAATACACAGATTCTAACTCAGCTGAGTTAGAATATAGTATATATACATGACAGGCACTATGCTAGAATTTTCATACTGTGTATTATCAATGTATGTCTAATACTCAAAATATCACAGCAGTGTTCATAACATTGATAATTCAATAAATAATTTTGATGATAGAAAAAATAATAAAATTGGCCAGGTGTGGCGGCTCATGCCTGTAATCCCAGCACTTTGGGAAGCCGAGGCAGGTGGATCACCTGAGGTCAAGAGTTCAAGACCAGCCTAGCCAACATGAGGAAACTTCATCTCTACTAAAAATACAAAAAATTAGTTGGGCGTGGTGGCAGGCACCTGTAGTCCCAGCTACTCAGGAGGCTGAGACAGGAGAATTGCTTGAATCTGGAAGGCGGAGGCTGCAGTGAGCCAAGATCGTGCCATTGCACTCCAGCCTGGGCAACAAGAGCAAAACTCCATCCCAAAAAATATATATAGTAATAATAATAATAAAATTAAGGATAAAATACAACACAAATTTGGCACTGCATATTTTAAAGCATTATTGCCTTGTTATAGGCACATTGCAAGTATATTTTAAGTAAAATTTGGAAGGAGACAATATATATCACTGCTTATAAGAGAAAAAATCAACTTCTAAAATAGGAGTAAAGGAGAATAATATCAGAATCATTGGCAAATCTCTTTCAAACTATAGAAATCCTCTCCCCTCAGATCTTTGCTCCCCTAGATAATTTTTGTTTTTATTTAGAGGTGCTGAGGATCTGTGTGTATATATTTGGTATGTTCTTTTCTTTCAGTTCCCGCTGAAAACAACTGACACAAAAATAACTTTCCTACTGAAATTACTTTGCCTGTTATAGTTCTTTAGATTACTTTATTAAAATGTAATTCATGATAAAGAAACATCCTTACTTCACCTTCATTTCTGAATGATATCTCTGGGTATAAAATGATAAGCTGGTTTCATCGCTTTAATAATATTCCATTGTCTTCTGGTCTCCCATCATTTCAGTTGAATAGTCATCTAGAGGTTATATTTGCTCCTTTGAAGACAGCTGTCTCTTTTCTCCAATCATTTTTAAGAATTCCTTTTTGTATTTGGTTTTTAGCAATTTTAATATGTTGTGCCTTCATGGGGTTTATTTTGTATTTATCCTGCTTAAAGTTTGTAGAACTTCTTGAATCTAAAGGTTGATGTCTTTCATCCCTTTTGGCATATGACCATCCCGTATCTTCACATCATACTTCTGTCCCATTCTCTCCCTTCTCTCCTTCTGAGACTCTAATTACACATATGTTCCAATGTCTCTTGCAGTCATTTCTATACCTTCTATTCTTTTACTCAGTTTTTCAGTCTAAATATTTTCCACTGAACTTGTCTCCAAGCTTACTAATTCTCTCTTTTGCACTAGGATTAGTGAAATGACAAAGAGGTCTCCAGTTCTAATCTTTTGTTAAAACCACCAATGGCATTCTTCGTTTTATGTATTATAATTACTAAAATCTGTTTGATGTTTTTATAAACTCAGTTATCTGTTAAATTCTTCATCTCTTTCCTAATTCTTCAGCAGCTTAATCACAATTATCTTAAAGTTTGAGAAGTTAAATATCTTGATCAACTAGGGGTTCTGGTGTCTTCCTGGATTATAATTAAGTGCTGTATATTATATACAGAAAAAAATATAAACTCTGAATTATGTTATCTACCTCCAGAGAGGATTTAATGTCTGTCTTGAGGTTAAATAGGGGCAGAACATCTTAGGTCCATCAGGGATTGAGAAATTTTGACACTGAGTTTAAATCTTTGTGATTGCTGATGTATTTCCCATTTGTTCTTATTCCTGAAAATCTGAAGTGTTTACCAGCGTCCCTCTTTCTGGGTAGTGCCTCCTCCTGTTTTCTGTCTTCCCAGGAGCACCATGAGACCACCAAATCTAGCCTACATTTTTAGCTCCCACTTTCTTTCTACTTGGATTTGTAACTTCCTGCCTGCCTAGCTTAGAAATAAACAAATGTCCCAAGGGGAAAAGCAGCACAGCATGTGAGGATTGCTTTTCTGTGCTTCCCTTTACTTAATACTCTTGGTTCCTGAATCATTGACTAAATTTCAAGTTTTGCTTTCCTAACCCTGTGAAACTGCTGGAAGATTTTACTAGCCTTTTATGCTTAGTATCTTAGCCATTTGTCCAATGCCACTTACAAATAAAAAGATGCCTTGATAGAAAAAGTTTCAGAGAATGTCAGGTTAACATCAATGCATGTCCCCTCCTCTCTGGAATCTTTATCCCTTAAGTCTTATCTCCTTTATTTGCTTCTGCTGCATTCAGCTATTTTGTAGTCATATAATTTATCAAGCTTCTATAGTTGTTCTCTCAATGGGATATTTGGTCTGATACAAGCTACTCCAACATCACCAAAAACAAAAACCTTCACCATTCTTTCTAAGATACTTAAGTATGTGACTGAATAGTATTAAATGAGAAGGAAAAAAATAGTTACATAATAATAAAATGCAGCTTCAAAAATAGGAATATACTCTGGAGATTAAGAAAAGTACTCTATCCTGCATAATATCACATAAAGTTATATTTTTTAGGGAGTTTAACTATGAGGTCTGAAACCCTTGAGGGCACCTTTAAAATCTTCGAGAAGAAAAGACCATACAATTTTTAAAAGAATTAAAGAAGCAAATGAGGCTGGGCACAGTGGCTCACGCCTGTAATCCCAGCACTTTGGGAGGCCCAGGCGGGCAGATCACGAGGTCAGGAGATTGAGACCATCCTGGCTAACATGGTGAAACTCCATCTCTACTAAAAATACAAAAAATTAGCCAGGCGTGGTGGCGGGCGCCTGTAGTCCCAGCTACTCAGGAGGCTGAGGCAGGAGAATGGCATGAACCTGGGAGGCGGAGCTTGCAATGAGCCAAGATCATGCCACTGCACTCCAGCCTGGGCAACAGAGCGAGACTCTGTCTCAAAAAAAAAAAAAAGAAGCAGCAAATGAGTAGTGAACCATCCACGTAATCCAATATGAAAAACTGAAAGAACTAAAAATCCAGATTAATCTGTAAAAGTCTTTCAAAATTTTATTAAAATTGATGTAACTTTAATCTCATAAACAGCTTGCTACTTTCTGACTCATATTTTTAATCACAATTGAAAATATCAACATGTTTGTTTCCACATAAACATTTGATGGAAATTAAGTAAGAAGATAATCCTTAAACTGATAATTTTTAAAATTTGTAGAGATTTTAGAAGAATTAAAATAAATGTTGAGATTGGTCATGTGTGATTTTTGACATTAAAAGCAGTTATAGATATTTCAAAGTTTATGTCCTTCCCTAAGACTGCCATTTCAAACTAGTCAATCCTCATGTTCCCTGCTGACAGTATATAATGTTGGAAGACATTTGATGTAAGAGTCGCAAATGCCAGCAATATCTCTAAAGGTCACTATAATTTTAACAGGTATAGTTAGAAAAGCTATTCTTATTCCAAATTACAACTTCACTATATGTTTAAAGAAAGGATACAATTTTACATTTTTAACTAAAAAACAGTTCAATTAAAACCTACATATACATTAAAACTACAACTTTATAACAAATACAGTAACAGAATTGTTGCTACTATTACTAATATGTATTAACTACTTTCTGGTCTAGACATTTAATCAACAAACAAAATGATACTATTTCTAACTTCAAACACCCTACAATCATGGTTCTCAAGTATCTTCAGCGACCCCTCGAGATTCCTGATGTCCTTTCAGATAATCCTCAAGATCAAAATTATTTTCATATTAATACTAAGATTTTGTTTGCCTAGTTGACTTTTGTTCTCTCATAAACACTTGTGTATTTTTGTATTTTAAATGTTTCTCATTTTCCATTTCTAATACAATAAGAAACACTAGATGTAATCCACATAAAGTTCTTTTGCGTCCTCAATAGTTTTGTTGTTGTTGTTGTTGTTGTTGTTGTTGTTGTTGGAGACAGAGTCCCCCTCTGTCGCCCAAGCTGGAGTGCAGTGGCACGATCTCAGCTCACTGCAACCTCTGCCTCCCAGTTCAAGCAATTTTCCTGCCTCAGCCTCCTGAGTAGCTGGGACTACAGGCGCGTACCACCACGCCCGCCTAATTTTTTGTATTTAACACGGGGTTTCACCGTGTTAGCCAGGATGGTCTGGATCTCCTGACCTGGTGATCCGCCTGCCTTGGCCTCCCAAAGTGCTGGGATTACAGGCATGAGCCACCATGCCCAGCCCTCCATATTTTTAAGAGTATAAAAAGATCCTGAAGCCAAAAAGTTTGAGAATTAGTGCCCCACAACCTAAAAGATAAATTTAGACAGAAAAATGATAAACAAAGAAATGTTACTACATATGTAGAACTATTTTTAAAACTATCACACAAGATAAAAATGCTAAAAATGTATTACATGTTGCGTTGATAAATCCTAAGTGTCCAATTATACCAGTCAAATATCATAGAAGTTAAAAAGCAAAGTTCACCAATGTTAAAATTCCTACCCCGACAGCGCTAAAGATTTTCATATTATTGATGTGATCTCCTATTACACTTAGCTATTTCAGAGAGAATCACTATGGTAGAAAAAATATATTGTGCAATTGCCCTCCAACATATTCTTAATTCTTTCATTCTCTTTGTTCCTGGATAAATTGAATGTCAATACAAGGACAGTTTCCCCAAAATAAAATAAATGTTATCTCAGACACAGAATTTGACTGTCATTTCAAATATGATCCTTAAAAAAATGTTTGTTTCTCTCCAACTGTAAAGCAAGTTGATTACCACAAAATGAGAGAGAGAGAAAAAAAAGAGCAAAAGAGAACGCTCATGAAGAAAACATACATTTTTGAACAAAAAGTAGGGAACTGTGTTTCTACTAAACACTCATTAAACTCCTTAGGCAAATATCTTCACCTATGGATACTGTTAAAGGAAATCTGGTCCTTTGTTATCATTATAATTTGGGAATTTTCATAATATATTTTTCTTGGAAACTTATATGAAAAAACATAAATTCCACCACTAGTTAGCAGATAACATTTAAGGAAAAAATAAATTCCTTGAATAGCTAAGTATTCCAATTCCCCAGGACCCTAGTCTTCAGATTTCTAAATAAAACATACTATATTTAAAACAATATTCTACAGTATTATGTAAAGAGTAACTATCTCATAGAATAGTTTTCATGATTTCAGTGTTTTAAGTATATACAAGTGGCTGGCACTTGTGGTGACCCTGAACGTTAATGAACAAAGCCTTGCAATAGATTTAAAAAAAAAAAAGAAAAGAAAAAGGAAAAGCAGGTGTGCAAAGAGTGCAAAGATAAATGTGCACAGTTGATATCTTCCCATCATTTACACCCAGGATGTTACAACAAATGGAATTAATCTGCTCTTACAAAAGTGCTTGCCACCACAGAAAGAAATAGACAATCTTTCAAAAGATATAATTCAATGCTAAAATTGCATATTTTAAGACTAAGAGAATGATTTCCCTTTCATATTAACCAATTAGACTGATTATATATACATATGTCTTTAAGATTTTAAATATCTTAAATTTGGAATTTAATATCATATGTTAAAAGGTATTGTAAGTCTATTAGATAATGGAAGGAAATCTTGAAATATACTGTATTTATGATGTAGAAGCACGAATAATAACCATATTATTGCATATTATGTTTCTACTAAAGCCTTTCAATATACTACTAAATTCAGATTATCTGAATGAAAATTTATGATTGGCCCATGCCTAATTTACAATTCAATTATATCCTAGCTTTTTTGGATGCTCAAAATAGTTATATTATATATATACATTTAAATAATTTCTCCCTCTGCCAAAATAATACTTTTGCATAAACTGTTTACAAATATTAATCTACATGGGCAGCCTGTTGATTAAAATAAACAATATATCACCATTACAAAAAATATTGTTCTCACACCATAGTAGGCAAATGTGGATATGTATCCTGTATAGGATGACTTTGCATGTCCTCCAGGTAGGCCCAAAGGGCAGTGTTGGCAATAATGATCCATCTGTTCACTACTGACAATGATAAAACTTCTAATGAAGACAGATGTGGGTCACCCAGTATAAGCTGGCTGCAGGGTGTTAATGAATCCTCCTAATGGTCACTACCTGCCACTTTTGACTGACTGATAACCTAAACAGTTTAATTTGAAAAGCAAAGATGAGTATTTCAGGTACTCATTTGTCCTACCAAGAAATTCTTTTCACTTTCACTTACATACTCACTCTTTACTACTTCTCTTTATTAATTCTTAAACAATATTACTATTGTTTATTAGATTGTCTTTAAAAATAACCTTGCTAGCATTTTTGAGAAATTAATTTCTCCAAAACTTCTCCACTGACTGGCCCACAAGATATCAACTTCATAATGTGATATAGCAATATTCCATATGAGAAACAAAAAAGGTAATATTTTCTATGTCATAAAACTCTTTAGGTACATTTACATGTAATTTTATAATCAATATCAATCTCTCTAAAATGTTGCTTTTAAAATATTTTTAAATGTCAATATAAAATGATTTTACTCAAGATTCCAAAAAGAATATTCACTTAGAGATACCAATCTATGAAAAATGTATATATCTATTAAAAATTTATAGAGATGGTCATTTTACTTTCGGAAATATGCTGTGGGTAATACTTAAGAATCATAACTTATGCAGTTGTTTTTCAGAATAAAATATGTATTACATTATACCTAAGCTCTTAAAGAAAATCTAATGTTAAAATAGGTCCTTAGAAAAATTAGTATGTATAAAAAGTAAATATATAAAATCCAAAAGTAAAAACACAACATAAAAAGCACATTTCACATATAAAGAAAATTACGTAAAAATTGTTTAATGTAAAATAATTTTCAATTAAGTTTAAAGTTCTTATAGTTTATAAACTATATTGTTATAAATTTTACTTTATTTACCTTTTTTTTTAGAGACAGGGTCTCGCTACATTGCCCAGGCTGTACTCAAACTCCTGAGGCTCAAGCAATATACCTGCCTCAGTCGCCCAAGGAGCTAGGACTACAGGCATGCCTCACCACATCTGGCCAGTTTCACTTTCTATGTAAAGACTTAAGATAACCTATTGTTGCTTCAGTCACAAATGGACCACTTATTCTTACAGCAAATCAGTTTACTGAAGTAGGTACCCATGACTAAACTTCATTACCTGCCAATAATTAACAGTCACAATTCATGTGAACACATGCACCAAATATACATACATACACACATATATACATGTATGTGTAGCAGGCTATCAACAAGGGAGGCCCATCTCAAATGATAAATGGAGTTGGAAACATTGAAAAAATAAGTTGATGTCTTCGTACTTTTCAAAAAAAAGAAAAAGGTGAAGTGCCAAGTTCAGTGGTGTGATATAGTCTAGCCTTTAAGCCATAATGCCCATCTTCAAAACATGCAACCAGCAGTGCTTTAAAATGGGACTCAACATGTTTACACGATTCATGATCTCCATTCTGACTCCTTGCCTAAGCCACTTCTTATTATGTTTACCAACCAATTATTGATTTTCCTAGATACTAAACTATTTCCTCACTTTCCTACTAATAATCTAACCTTATTCCTCAGACTCAATAATCAGCTTCTACCTTTGAGCTTTCCCCTCCATCCTTATCTAAATTTTAGAAGCTGCCTTGGCCACTTTTATGTCCTTGTCCTGCCTCTCAAAGCTGCTGCCCTCTACCATGTCCCCTCAGCTCTGAGAGCAAGGAAAAATTAATGATTGCAAAACTTCCAGATAAGAGAATCAACTGAAATGAAAGGTATTCTGTGAGGGTCAAGTCTCCTGGAGGCTAACCAAGGGTGTTGACACAGAATTAAGTGTTCTAGATTAAAAGCAAATACTTCAACTTTTTTAAGGAACTACGATATTGATTTATCTGTGAGGTCAGTTTGGAGTATCAGTGTGTGTTGAGCCCTCCTCCTGATAGTAATCCCTGGCTGACAACTCCTTCAAAGTCAGAAGATACAGTGTATTTTTTCCTAATGCAAGGTAGTCATCGTCCATTGAGTTTCCATTTCTAGATGCATGAGTCAAGGGAAAATGAGAGATAAAAGCTAAGGGGGTTCTCTTGTGAAAAAATTATCAATTTTTCTTCAAAACAAATTTTAAAAAAAACTGATGGGAGACCATTATTTGGAGAATCCCAGAATAAGCAATGGAAATAACCATGAGAATTTCTGGATAGCTTTGATTCAGCTTTACATGAACTATTATTCTGACATGGCATCAGATTTTATTGAAAGTTAAAGACGTGGCTAAACACTTCATTTTGCTTAGAGACATGACTTGTGTTCATGGGTCATGGCTCCCCATATCTTTGCCAGCAGGGCAAGATTCTCTGTCTTAAAAGTCAGTATTTTCAATCCTTGAAAACATTTCAATCTTGAGGATGGCTAGAATGCTGCAAACTCTTCTAATGCATAACACTAAGATAAAGGAGACTGAGTAGGGATTAAAGCTTGAGCTTTATAAACTTAGCAAAGGAAGCAAAAAGAAGTTATTAATTAGTTCAGCCCAAGACTGATAAACAGGGCCATGACAAATAGTTTAGTTCAATAGAGGCTATGATAAAAGTTTAAGTGCAGTAAATACTAAAAGCCCTTACCAAGAAATACAATAATTAAGTATTAAGAACTGAGAAGCATTGTCTCATAGGAGGAAGCAAGTTTATGAGAAAGTTATGAAGACAGTCAGACATCCTTACCAATATACTTCCAACCCACCAATGAGGTCACTTGAACCCAATGCAAACCCCCTGCAACTATGTTCTACTCTAGTGCCTCAGGGAATTTCTCTAGGCCTTTATTTTGAAACCACTTCCTACATTAAGAGACACTCACCTTATGACAGCGCTCAAGCCAGGATACATCTCGGTTTAGTCCTACCCCACTTTATAACCCCTACACAGAAGGAGCAACTCAAGACCTTGTTTATTTTAAAGGAAATATGAGAAAAGTACTGCCACAGACAGGAGACCCAGAGCTGCAGCATTTCTTATCTGGACTATTAAAGAAACGTGTACCTGGTCGCTTTTCTTCCCATCTTTCCCATGTGCAGGTCCACTTTTTTTTTTTTTTTTTTTTTTTTTTTTTTTTTTTTTTTTTTTTTTTTTTTTTTGTCGCCCAGGCTGGAGTACGGTGGCTCAATCTCGGCTCACTGCAAGCTCTGCCTCCCGGGTTCACGCCATTCTCCTGCCTCAGCTCCCCGAGTAGCTGGGACTACAGGCGCCCGCCACTACACCCGGATAATTTTTTTGTATTTTTAGTAGAGACGGGGTTTCGCCACGTTGGCCTGGATGGTCTCCATCTCTTGACCTCATGATCCGCCTGCCTCGGCCTCCCAAAGTGCTGGGATTACAGGTGTGAGCCACCACGCCCGGCTGGTCCACTCTTAATAAGTCAAACATTTCCTAAATAACAAATCTAATCATGCCACTCTCTTGATAAACTCTTCATTGACTCCCTTTTGCCAATACAGTAAAGCACAAAGCCCTTACATTGGCACACAAAGCCCTTCTACCACAATCCAAATAGTACTCTAAATAAATCTACTCCATGTGTATTGCCACTATTGCCATAATCTTCTACTCTGGATCTCTCCATTCTAGTGCCCTTATAGTATAAATAGCATGTTTCTCTTCTACATAAAACCCTTTATTGTCCTAAGAATAAGATCAAAATTTCTTATCAAGACCTACAAAGCCCTATTTTGGCCTCTGTCTACCTCCCAATATCATCCTGTACCATTCTTCTCCTTCACTTCTTCTTCTCTTTCACCCCACTTCCACTAGCCTTCTCTCAAGACCTTAATCAGTCCCATCTCAGAAAACTAACACATGTAATAATGACTCTTAAACACTAAAATCCTGAAAAATAAATGGTAAATCTGTGAATTTAAATTCTGATGAAAAGATAACTTTGGAATTCACTACTAAATAAGAATTTAGGTATATCAGAATTAATTTTTTCCAAATAATTAGAATGTCACATTGATATAAATTTTCCTTTAGTGTAAATAAGCCAAGCAAATCTTTGGTGGAGCTTAACCCTTTCATATATAGAAATTCTTGGAAAATATGAAAACACTATTATAATGGGGAAAATACCCAAGATTGACAAGCAGAAAAAGACTGTATAAAAATACTGCCAAAAAGCAAGTGTTTATAGGTTATCCAACCCAAATTTCCATCACATTTATCAATTCGTTCTTCAAATATACAATTCTATTAATATTGGAGTATTCCAGGAAGAGGGGATACCACAGTGAACAAAATATGAAAAACAAAAATCTATGCCTTCTCACCACTTATATTCTATACATATCATACAATTTACATACAGCACAAATGTAATTTGCAAACAATATGAGTTTTGACAGATCCATAATTTCTATTACCATCACCGTAATGAAGATATAGAATGTTAATATCACCTCAAAAGTTTCCGTGTGCCAATTCTCAGACAATTCTTCCACAGCTAATCTATTTTCTTTTTTGTTTTTAACACAGTCTTACTCTGTTGCCCAGACTGGCATACAGTGGCATGAGCACAGGTCACTGCAGCCTCCAACTCTTGGGTGGCTCGAGCAATCCTCCTATCTCAGTCTCCCAAGCAGCTGAGACTACAGGCATGAGCTACCCCACCCAGCTGTTTTGTTGTTGTTGTTTGTTTGTTTGTTTGCAGAGGCCAGGTCTTGAACTCCTGGGCTCAAGCAATCCTCCTGCCTCAGCCTCCCAAAGTGCTGAATTCCAGGCATGAACTATCTGCCTGCCCTGTTTTCTGTTATTATAGATTTGTCTTTTTTAGAATTTTATATGAATGAAATCATACAGTATTTTTAATGTCTGATTTCTTTTGCTCAAGAGTATATTTTTGAGATTTGCCATGTGGTTTTATGAATGAGTCATTCTATAGGTAGTTCTTTATAGTGCTAAATAGTATTACATTGTATGAATATCCCACAATTTATGTTTATCCATTCCCCTACTGATTAACATTTGGGTTGTTTTCAGTTTGGGGAAATAGTCATAATAACAAATAAAGCTGCCATGAAAATATTTGTATAAGTATTTGGTGAACATATATTTTCATTTCTGTTACACGAATAGGAGTGAAATTGTGGTACCACACAGTATGTATATTTTAACTTTCTAAGAAACTGTCCAAATTTTTCCAGAGTGAGTTTATTATTTTACATTCCCATAAGGGATGTATGAAGAGTTCTAGTTGCTACATATTGCTATGAGTATTTGATATTTCCAGTCTCTTTTACTTTAGCCATTTAAATGGGGGTGCCTTGGTATGTCACTGTCATTTTTGTTTGCATGTTCCTAATGACAAACGGTTTAGAGCAACTTTTGTTGTGCTTATTTGCCATTCTTATGTCTTCTTTTATAAAGTGCCAGTTCAAATATTTTGCCTGTTTTTAATGAGTTCTTAGTCTTCGTATTGAGTTATAAGAATTCTTTATTATTCTAGATACAATTATTTTGTCAGATAGATATGTTGCAATATTGTCTCCCAGTCTTGGCTAGACTTTTCATTATCTTAATAATGACTCAATGAGCATAAGTATTTAATTTTGATGAAGTCCACTTTATCAACTTTTTCCTTTTATGGTTCATACTTTTTGTACCCTATCTAAATAACATTTTCTTACCCCAAAATTGTACAGATTTTCTCCAGTATTTTTCCTTTCAAAAGTTTCATAGATCTATGACCCATTTTGAATTAATTTTTTTGTATGGGATGAATTATGTTTTAAGGTTTGGTTTGGTTTGGTTTTCTTTGGATATCCAGTTGTTCTGGCACTATTTGTGCAAAGACTTTCCATCCTCTTTGAATTATTTTGGTACCTTTGTCAAAAATCAGTTAACCTGTATGTGTGCATCTATTTCTGTACTCTCTAATTTTTACTGTCTATATGTTTATCCTAATACTAATAACACACTATCTTGATTACCTGATTGATTATAAATCTTGAAATCAAGTAGTATAAATCTGCCACCTTTCCATCTAAACATTATAATCAGTTTATTTCTGCAAAAACTTCTGCTAGGAATTTGATTGGGTTGATACTATTACATTGAATCCGTAGATTAATCTGGAAATAACTGACATCTTAATAGTATTGCATCTTTCAATCCATAAACATATGGCATATATCTCAACTTTTTTAGATCTTTTCAGAATCCTCTCAGCAATGTTTTATACTTTTTGTGCAGAGGCATTGTTCATAATTTGATAAATGTATTCCTAAGTATTTTATGTTTTGAGGTGCTACTTTAAATGGTGTTTTTATTTTATTTTTCCATTACTAGAATATTGAAATCAATTTATTTTTCTATGTTAATCTCATATTGTGTGACCTTCCTATACTCACTTATTAGTTCCGGTAGCTTTTTTCTAAGCAATCATAATATGTTATTTCATTAAATTAAAAAAGGAATCCAAGGAAATGAGTCTATAATATGGGTTCTTCAAGAGTATTAAAATTATCACATCCATACATATTGATCAAGCCTAATCAGTAGTTATCACAGTCCTCATGTTCCTTTTATAAATATTTTGTTCCAGTATAAAGATGAAACAGTTTTGTGTTAAGGTAGGCAACGGCTCAGATGAGCACATAAAAAAATTTAAAACAGAATTTAAATGTTTCACCTTGACTCAGTTAAATGAATGTGTATCAGTGGAGTACAATCCAAAAGAAAAGTATTATATGTACCATTAATTTAAACTTGCTATATTTGCAGAATTGTAGAAAATATAAATTATTGAATAAAGTAGTAAGCTTTATCACTATAATATATACTAAAGTATGCACATTTGCACTGGTTGAAATTAATTCTCACAAGCTATAAGATAATCCTCATTTCACAGAAGAGCCTTATAAAAGTTAAGTAATTTGCCCAAGGGCCCACAGCTAGGTAAAATTAGAGCAGAACTCAAACCAAAATCTGCCTTCCATAAAGTCCGTGCTATAGTTTTTCAGTGCTGATGACTTTAAATAAAAAAGAGGAAGAAAAATATTTTTTAAAAATACACAATAGTAAGAAAGCACTCTGCTTCATATATATAAATGTACATATAATAAGATTTAGCAAATTTTAAACACCTACAACTCCACCAAAACAAATTCATTTCATTTTTAAAAGAAAATCATTAAATATAGGTCTCCATCACTATCTAAATTCTCACTACCTGAATCCAAATATTTAAATAATGATTTGCCAAACATCCAAAACTTAATAGACAAATAGAAACCTGTTATAATGAATCCACAGATGCATGCCAGAAAAAAAAAAAAAAAAAAAAAGGTGCCCTGCACAAATCTAAGCAGTTTCCAGTCTTAACCATTGTCCTGATGATATTGCCACTGGTTTTGTTTAAAGTATAGTGCATTATTGCAACCATCTTATCATATTTCTTCCTCCTCCCATTCTTTCCCTGCTCCTCAGGCTTAGCACTTTATTGGTCTGCCAAATGACTAAGGATACAACCAACCCAAACAATCCAGATACTTTCACTATCTATAACATACTATTTTGTTTACTTACATTATAGAATTTTTTTGCAAATTACAAAATAATATCTGATATAGAATAGTATCGTTGTCAACAGCACACAAACATACTAATGAGCTCAATAAACATTTTTGAAAAATTAAATAACATGTCTTAAATAACTTTCAGAAATCCTTGGGTGATTGTTATACAGACACATAAGAGCGTTTTATTTAAGGAATCAACCTAGAATCTTGCATGGGCTGGATATATTATTATCGTCTCATTTAAGATAATAGAATACAGGTTCCTGCTACCCAAAAATATGCTATCCAACATGTTTTCAAGAATGCATTAAATTTGAACAACAAGAGAGTTCTGTAAAATGAACAACTATCAGAATAACCTAAAAACTTCACGTTTTCCTGCTTAAGAATGACTAAAATAATTTATATAGAATCTGTACATCCCCAGCTTCTATTAAAAGCCCTCCATTATTTATTTAATCAGGGTTCTCAGTACTCACCAAGACAGTCTCACTAGCCAACCATATTAGTCTGCCAGCTACACGTTTTCTACTTCTACTCAAAATGCCCTCATCCACTGTCTCCATCAATCCAAGATTTCCTTTAAAATTCAGATCAATATAATTGTATCCCTTAATTCAGTAATTCTCTCTTTTTTTCTTTTTTTTTTTTTTTTTTGAGACGGAGTCTGGCTCTGTCGCTCAGGTTGGAATGCAGTGCCGCAATCTCGGCTCACTGCAAGCTCCGCCTCCCGGGTTCACGCCATTCTCCCGCCTCTGCCTCCCGAGTAGCTGGGACTACAGGTGCCCGCCGCTATGCCCGGCTAATTTTTTGTATTTTTAGTAGAGACGGGGTTTCACCGTGTTAGCCAGGATGGTCTCAATCTCCTGACCTTGTGATCCGCCCGCCTCGGCCTCCCAAAGTGCTGGGATTACAGGCGTGAGCCACCGTGCCCGGCCTCCAATAATTCTTTTAATCCATCTTGTGTTTGGGATTTAAAATTAATAAGCCCTAATCCCTGACTCCAAGAATGGAATGATCTGGTGGCAGAAACAGACATGGGAATAGACCATAATAATATAACATCATAAATGCCATGAGTGGAATATATGTAGAATACCAGCAGTTGAATCTCAAAGAATGAGCAGGAATCAGCCACCTGACAAGAAAGTGAGCATTCAAGGTCAAAGACTGGCTTATGCAGAGGGAGAGGGATGGGATGAGGGAAATAATGCTAAGTTCAGGAAACTGAAGGTAGTTCAATGTGACTAAAGTATAGGATGCATACAGAAAAACTGTGAAAGAAGAAGTTGGGGAGGTAATTAGGATCAGATTACAATAGTTTAGTATTTCATGATAAGAAGTATTCTCTGACTAAAGCCTATCTCACTCAATATAGCCCTATATTTCACATATATGCTCTTTTTAAACCTTAGAGATTTATGTCATTCATTCACCAAATGTTTAAAGGAGACACTATGTATTTTTTCTAATTGTTTCCTGTATGTGATGTATGTCTCCAACTAGGTGACAAATAAAAACAAAGTTTCTTTTTAGCTTCTAAAACCCTAATGAAACTAGTGTAATGCTGAACAAAATACTCACTTCAATAAATGCTTCTTGAATTTAAATAATAATAATTCAATTATTATTAAGTTATTTAAAATCATAAACCTAGATCTTATTTTGGCAGTATTCCTAAATTAGCAAACGGTAAATAATATACATAGAAAATTATACTGGTAAGGACTATAAAATCTCTCCTTTAGGGGAAAAAAAAAAAAAAAAAAAACTCTAGCCATTCAAGAGCTTATTCTCTGCCTTCCATCTCAGGCAAGCTCCCTGAAAGAGTGAGCTGTTTATATTCATATAATTCTTTTCCCTACCATCCATCCATTCTTCCATCCAACCATTCTTCTCTTCCACCCATCCATTTTTCAATCCACTGCTATCTGCTGTCTTCAACTTAGTCCAGTGCTTTGCTAAAGTAACCAATAATATCGAACTTCTGCAAAGTTCATTGGATGCCTTTGGATCCCACTTTTATTAACTAACCCAAGGTATTAATATATAAAACAGGTAGTAACAACTCTCTTGAAATTCAGTCCCCCTCTGGCTCCTGTGAGATCACTCCTTCTTCATTCTAATCCTGCCATTTTTTTTTAATTTCAATAGTTTTTGGAGTACAGATGATTTTGTGTACATGAATAAGTTCTTTAGTGGTGATTTCTGAGATTTTGGTGCACCCATCACCCAGACATTGTATACTGTACCCAGTAGGTAGTCTTTATCCATGACCCCCCTCCCAACCTTACCCTCTGAGTCCCCAAAGTCCATTATATTATTCTTATACCTTTGCAGCCTCGTAGCTTAGCTCCCACTTATAAGTGAGAACATACAATATTCGATTTTCCATTCCTGTGTTACTTCACATGGAATAATGGCCTCCAGCTCTAACCAGGTTGCTGTAAAAGACATTATTTGTTCCTTTTTGTTGCTATGTAGTATTCCATGGTGTATATATATCAGATTTTCTTTGTCCTCTCGTTGGTCGATGGGCACTTAGGTTGGTTCCATATCTTTGCAATTGCGAACTGTGCTACTAAAAACATGCATGTGCATGTGTTTTTTTTCATGTAATGACTTCTTTTCCTTTGGGTAGATACCCAGTAGTGGGATTGCTGGATTGAATGGTAGTTCTACTTTTAGCTTTTTAAGGAATATCCACACTGTTTCCACAATGGTTGTACTAATTTACATTCCCACCAGCAGTGAAAAAGTATTCCCTTTTCGCTAGATCCATGCCAACATCTTTTTTTTTTTTTACTTTCTAATTATGGTCATTCTTGCTAGAGTAAGGTGGTATCTCATTGTGATTTTAATTCGTATTTCCCTGATAATTAGCGATGTACATTTTTTCATGTTTGTTGGTTATTTGTCTATCTTCTTTTGATAAATTTCTACTTATGTCCTTTGCCCCCCTTTTGATGGGAGTATTTATTTTTTTCTTGTTTATTTGTTTGACTTCCTTGTAAATTCTGAATACTAGTCCTTTGTCAGATGCATGGTTTGTGAATATTTTCTCCCACCCTGTGGGTTTTCTGTTTACTCTGCTGATTATTTCTTTTGCTGTGCTGAAACTTTTTAGTTTAATTGGGTCCCATTTATTTATCTTTGTTTTTGTTGCGTTTGCTTTTGGGGTCTTAGTTATGAATTATTTGCCTAAGCCAATGTCTAAAGCAGTTTTTCTGATGTTATTTCCTAGAATTTTTATGGTTTCAGGTCTTAAATTTAAGTCATTGATTCATCTTGAGTTGATTTTTGTATAAGGTGAGAGATGGAGATCCAATTTCATTCTTCTACATGTGGCTTGCCAGTTTTCCCAGCACCATTTATAGAATAGACTGTCCTTTCCCAATTTATGTTTTTGTATGCTTTGTCAAAGATTAGTTAGTTGGCTGTAAGTATGTGGCTTTATTTCTGGGTTTTCTATTCTGTTTCATTGGTCTACATGCCTATTTTTATACTGGTACCATGTTTTATTTTTGGTACATATAGGCTTGTAGTATAATTTGAAGTCTGGTAATGCGATACTTCCAGATTTGTTCTTTTTGCTTAGTATTGCTTTGGCTATGCAGGCTTTTTTTTTGTTCCACATGGATTTCAGAATTGTTTACCTTAATTCTGTGAAGAATGATGATGGTATTTTGATGGGAATTGCATTGAATCTGTAGATTGCTTTGCGCAACATGGTTATTTTCACAATATTGATTCTCCCCAACCATCAGCATGGGATATGTTTCCTTTTGTTTGTGTCATCTATTAATCCTGACACTTTCAATCCTTCTTCTTTATTTCTTTCTTAGGTCCCCCTTCCTCCACTTACCACTAAATATCCCAGATTAAGTCCCTAATCCCTATAGATTGTGTAATTTAATGCAAAGGCTGGTTCCTAAATCTCTAGTTGAGATCCTCCTCAATTTTCTTACTACCTTCAAGACACTTATGCCTATATAATAGATGCTAAAAATAACCTGATTCTCCAATACTACACACAGCTACACACACACACAAATACATACACACACACACAAAATGTCACATGCTTCTTATATCCTCTCTGTCCAAATCTCCATATCATCATTTACCTAGTATTCTAAGCAAAAAATCTAAGAGTCATCATCAATACTCCTTTCTCACTCATCCTCCCACATCAAATTAATCACTAGATAAAATCAATGCTAACACCTAAGTATTTGTACTTTCCCCTCATTATCAGTCTCATTTAACTATTTTAATACAGGCATTCACTATGTGAACCACTATGCATTACCTCATGATTTCCCTCTCTCTCTCTACTCTCAGATCCCATCCATTTGCCTAACAATTACCTGTTCTAACTTTCTGAGATTACAAATCTGTTCATGAATCAACTGCTTAAAATGTTTACCGGCCCAAAATCTCCTATAGATAAAAATACAAGTTGCTTTCTCACACCTTCGTGGCTTTACAAATCCTCATTGCCTGGAATGTTGTACTCCGTCTGACAAATAGCTACTTGTCCTTCAAAATATAACTCTAACACACTTTAGAATCCTTTCTTGATTTCTATCATTCCCCAAGCAAAATCAACGCATTTCTCCTTTTAAGCCTCATTGACTTTATTTGGATCTCATTGTATAATTGTTTAGATATTTGTATCTTCCATTGAGGAATGTGAACTCCTTGATTCAAGAAGCTTTGCCCTATTCATCATCTTTCTATCCACAGCATATAATAGGTGTTCAATTAATTGTTCATTGAGTAATAATAACTATCATTTACTGAATATTAACAAATGTCAGACACTGTGTTAAGCATTGTGTGTATATACATATATATTCAGATATCATTGGATTCTCACAATAACCTTTTTGTAGAGTATTATTATTCATATTTTAGAGACTTAAAAGGAAGAATATTGAGGCTTAGAATAGCAAAATATCACACACCTAGTATGTGATGGAGCAAGAAATTGAATGCAGTGTGATTCCAAAGTCTGAATTCTTTACCACTAAACCATAAATAAATACAAAAGGTTTTATTTATTTTATACACATCTTAAAATTTTACCATGAATGAGTATGACTTTGGTATATAAAACTCACTCAGTGCAGTACAAACTATTTTACAATAAGACTTGAAGAGATAAGGTGCTCTCCCAAAAGATACTGAATTATTGTTTAAGCAATAACTAAATATTTTCAATCTCTTCCTCACTCCTTCTCTCACATATAATTTTGTCCATTTATCTTTTAATAATTCAACCCTTCCATCTTTATTGACACTTTTTTCACTTCTTTAAAATCCATAATTTAAAAATTGAAAAACTTTCCTTAGAAAATGGGAAAAGTGAGCAATCAGAATTTGAGATACAGTAACTGTAACATGAACAACTAATTTAGGTTTGGGGGGAAAAGCGTGTTTAATTATGTGCAAGTCTTCTTAAGTCTCTGTTCACCCTCAAAACCAAGGCCACTACCACATATTACTAACAGTAATAAATTGCCAAGTGCCTGTTATAAAGCCAAGTAACCAGATAATTTAATAAATATTAAAGACTAACAATGATAAGGAAGAAAGTAAAAATGTTTACATTGAAATTAATGGAATAATCCACCCATTAAAGAAAAAAACACAGAAAGTTTTAAATTATTTCTCCCTTTCATGTCCTTATTATTAACCTGTTTAGCATAATTTTACTTATTTGAAACTAAAACTTTCTATTTAAGATCTATATTAGTAAATTATTTTATGTAACCTAAAATTTTATACTAATCAAGAGAATAACCTAGTCTATAAATAACATCTTTTAATATAACTTTTAAAAGTCTAATAATTTTGATAAATTTATATAGATGAATAGAAATAACTTAGTTTGCAGCTAGAATCTAAATAATATTTTTAAATAGTTCCAAGGTATTTTCATTTGGCAGAACTGCCAAAAGAACTAAAATTTCCAGTTTAGGATTTGCTCAAATGAACTTCAAGGCAAATTTTCGTATCTTGCCACATAATTTTTAGGCATTTGTTTTAATGAATTTGAGAAATGAATGAATAAATAAGGTGTTATGTCAATAAAGAGCCAAAGTATTGGCGCCACCTAGTGAAACTGTACTCAGTTATTTGACCTAATACAAAGCTAACACAGCAACTTCATATATTTTGTATTACCAAATTAAAGAACTTCAATAGAAACAATTACCAAATGTTTTTGCATAGTAAAGATTTATCTTAAAGACTTTGTTAATATTAAGAAAGATACTAAAAAATTTTTCATTGCCAAAGGCAAGACATTCCTTAGTGAACTATTCAGGTTGCATAAAAGTTAATATTTGTGTTTTTTAACAGGAATTCTCAGTAAATTATAATGTCATAAATATTCAAAAGATATATTAAAACAATACTACATGTACAAATTAAGTAAATTCAAGGACAGTTATGATTTAAAAAACTCACATTGATTAAAATATTATATTCATATTATTACACATTTTGTTGCAATATCAGAAAATGCTTAAATCCAAAGATACTATAGGAGGGGGATAAAGATGATGGAATAGAAGCCTACACCATTCATCTCTCCTGCTGGAACACAAAATTTTAACAACTATCTACATGAAGAAAAGCACCGTCACAAATACCAAAACCCAGGTGGCAATCACAGTACATGGTTTTGACTTCATAACGCTAAAAGAGGCATTGAGGAAGGCAGGGGATATAGTCTTGAATCATCGATGTCACTCCTTCCCCATCCCCCAACTGTAGCCATGCAGCACAGAGACAGAATCAGTACATTTTGGAGAGGCAAAGCACAGCAATTGGGGGACTTTACATTGAACTTGGTGCTGCCCTGTCAGAGTGGAGAATAAAGCCATGCTGAGCTCAGCCAGCACCCATGCATAGAAGGAGCATTTGGACTAGCCCTAGCCAGAGGGGAATCACCCATCCCAGTGGTTGGAACTAGAGTTTCTCAGGAAGTCTTGTTACACGGAGTGAAGTGCTCTGGGGTCCTAAGTAAACTTGAAAGACAGTCTAGGACAGAAGGACTGCAATTTCTAGGCAATTCATAGTAGTAGACTGGGTTTAGAGCCAGGAAGCTAGGATAGCACAGGACCTAGGGAGATACCAGCTGGTGCAGCTAAAGGAGAGCTTGTGCCGTGCCTCCCACAATCCCAGGCAGTGCAGCTTATAGCAATGAAAGTGACTCCTTCCTTCTGCTTAAAGAGAGTGAAGAGTAAAGAGGACTTTGGATAGAGTATTGAGCAGAGTTGTGAAGCCTCCATTCCAGGCCCTAGCTCCTGAATGATATTTCTAGACACACCCTGGGCCAAAAGGAAACCTGCTGCCTTGAAGCAAAGGCATGATTCATTACCTGCTGACTAAAGAGCCCTTGGGCCCTGAATAATCAGCAGTGATAACTAGGGAGTTTGCCTTGTGCCTTGGGTTCTGAAATGTGCTGGCTTCAGTGACAACCCAGCACATTCCCAGCTGTGGTGGCTACAGTGAAAGACTCATTCTGTTTTTAAAAAGCAGAGTAAAGGGGACTTTGTCTCGCACCAACTCGACCAGTGGAGTAGAGCAACAAGCAGGCTTTTGGGGTCCCCGAGTCCAGGCCTAGGCTCTTGGACAGCATTTCTGGACCTGCCCTGGGTCAGAGGGGAGCCCACTGACCTGAAGGGTGTGTCCCAGGCCAGGCAGCATTCATCACAAACTGACAGAAGAGCCCTTGGGCTTTAAGTGAACATTGGCAGTGGCCTAGCACAACCCCTCCACCTCAAACCCCCATGGATCAGTGGTGGTAGTGGACACAGGGAGAGGCTCCTCTGCCTGTGGAAAGGGGAGTGTAGGTCAAGAAGGACTTCATATTATAGTTTGAGTGCTAGCTTAGCCACAGTATAATAGAACATCAGGTAAATTCCCAAACACGAAATTACAGTGTTATACTTAACAAAGTATATAGTTGTTTATGCTTGTTAAAATAAGCTTATACTTGACTAAGTATAAAGACCAAATGATGAACCAATAAAAAATAACAACTACAAGACCTAGGTAGTACAATAGGACATAAGGAAAAACAACAAAAAGTTAAAAAAACAGAGAATTAAAGTGTAGTGCTTTTATTAGTTTATTTCTGCATGTTATTTGCTTATATAATTAGAATTACAACAGTTTAAAATAATGGGTTACAAGATAGTATTTGGAAGCCTCATGGTAGCCTCAAATCAAAAAACATACAACATATAAGCAAAATATTAAAGCATTCCACCAAAGAAAATCACTTCCACGAAAAGGAAGACAGGAAGGCATGAAAAAAGGAAGAGAAGACCACAAAACAACCAGAAAACAAATAACAAAATGGCAGACGTCAGTCCTTACTTATCAATAATAACATTGAATGTAAATGGACTAAACTCTCCAATTAAAAGACATAGAGCAGCTGAACAGATGTTTTCAAAGACCCAGTGTTATGCTGCCGACAAGAAACACACTTCTATAAAGATGCACAGAGACTGAAAGTAAAAGGATGGAAAAAGACACACCATGCCAATGGAAGCCAAAAAAGAGCAAGAGTAGCTATACTTACATCAGTCAACATGGATTCCAAAACAAAAACTGTAAGAAGAGACAAAGAAGGTCATTATATAATGACAAAGTGGTCAATTTAGCAAGAAGATAAAATGATTATAAATACAAATGTGCCCAACATGGGAGAACACAGATATATAAAGCAAATATTATAAGAGCTAAAGAAAAGATATACACCAATACAATAACAGCTGGAGACTTCAACACCCCACTTTCAGCACCAGACAGATCTCCCAAAGAGAAAATCAACAAAGAAACATCAAACTTAATCTGCACTATAGAACAAGTGGACCTAGAGATATTTACAGAACATTTCACTCAATGCAGAATACACACTCTTCTCCTCAGCCTATAGATCATTCTCAAGAATAGACTATATGTTAGTCCACAAAAAGTCTTTGAAAATTCAAAAAAATGAAATCATATCAAGTATTTTCTCTGACAACAATGGAATAAAACTGGAAATAAATAACAAGAGAAATTTTGGAAACTATACAAACACATGGAAATTAAGCAATATGCTCCTTAATGATCAGTGAGTCAATGAAGAAATTAAGAAGAAAGTTTAAAAATATCTTGAAATGGGCTGAGCATGGTGGCTCACACCTGTAATCCCAGCACTTTGGGAGGCCAAGGCAGGAGGATTGCTTGAACCCAGAAGTTTAAGACCAGCCTGGGCAACATGGGGAGACTTCGTCTCTACAAAAACACAAAAACAATTAGCCAGGCATGGCAGCATATACCTGTAGTCCCAGCTACTCAGGAAGCTGAGGTAGGAGGATCACCTGAGCCCAGGAAGTCAAGGCTGCAGTGAGCCATGATTATGCCACTACATTCCAGCCTGGGTAACAGGAGTGAAACCCTGTCTCAAAAAAAGAAAAAAAAAAATCTTGAAACAAATGATAATGGAAATATACCAAAACCTATGAGATACAGCAAAAGCATTAAGAAGAGGAAAGTTTATAGCAATAAGCCCCTACACCAAAAAGTAGAAAAATTTCAGATAAAGAACCTAATGATGCATCTTCAAGAACTAAAATGGCAAGAGCAAACCAAACCCAAAATTAGTAAAAGAAAAGAAATAATAAAGATCAGAGTAGAAATAAATGAATTTGAAATGAAGAAAACTATACAAAAGATTAATGAAACAAAAAATGGTTTTTTGAAAAGATAAACAAATTGACAAACCTTTAGCCAGACTAACTATGAAAAAGAGAAGATCCAAATAAATAAAATCAGAGGTAAAAAAGAAAATTCAAAGATCATGCAAAGGAATGAATTTGCAGAAATTCAAAGGATCATTAGTGGCTACTATGAGCAACTATATGCCAGTAAATTGGAAAATCCGGAAGAAATGAATAAATTCCTAGACACATACAACCTACCAAGGTTAACCCACAAAGAAATCCAAAACCTGAACAGAACAAGTAATAAGATCAAAGCCATAATAAAAAGTATCTCAGTAAAGAAAAGCCTGGGACGTGATGGCTTCACTGCTGAATTTTACCAAACATTAAAAGAAGAACTAATATCAATCCTACTCAAACTATTCCAAAAAATAGAAAAGAAGAGATTACTTCCAAACTCATTCTATGAGGCCAGTATTACCCCGATACCAAAATCAGACAAGGACATATCAAAAACACAAAACTATGCCTGATGGTCAATATCCCTGACGAACATAGATGCAAAAATCCTCAACAAATACTAGCAAACCATATTCAGCAATATACTTAAAAGATCACTCATCATAACCAAGTGGGATTTATCCTAGGGATGCAAGAACAGTTCAACATATGCAAATCAATGCATGTGATACCTCATAGCAACAGAATGAAAGACAAAAACTATATGGTCATTTCAATTGATGCTGAAAAAACATTTGATAAAGTTCAACATACTTGCCTGATAAAAACCCTCAAAAAACCAGGTATAGAAGGAACATACCTCAACATAGTAAAAGCCATATATGACAGACCCTCAGTCAATATCATACTGAATGGGAAAAACTGGGAGCCTTTCCTCTAAGACATGGAACATGACAAGGATGTCCACTTTCACCACTGTTACTCAACATAGTACTAGAAGTCCTAGCTAGAGAAATCAGACAAGAGAAAGAAATAAAAGGCATCCGAACTGGAAAGGAAGAAGTCAAATTATCCTTGTTTGCCGATATGATCTTATATTCTGGAAAACCTAAAGACTCCACAAAAAAAATTATTTGAACTGATAAATTCAGTAAAGTTGCAGGGTAAAAATCAACATATAAAAATCAGTAGCGTTTCTATATGCCAACAGTGAACAATCTGAAGAAGAAATCAAAAAAAGTAATCCCATTTACAATAGCCACAGATAAAATTGAATACCTAGGAATTAACTTAACCAAAGAAGTGAAAGACCTCTGCAATGAAAGCTATAAAACACTGATGAAAGAAATTGAAGCAGACACCAAAAGATAGAAAGATATTCCTTGTTCATCGATTGGAAGAATCAATACTGTTAAAATGCCCATGATACCCAAAGCAATCTACAGAGCCAGTGCAATCCCTATCAAGATACCAATGACATTTTTCACAGAAACAAAAAGAAAAAAACATCCTAAAATGTATGTGGAATCACAAAAGACCCAAATAACTAAAGCTATCCTAAGCAAAAAGAGCAAAACTGGAGGAATCACGTTACCTAACCTCAATATTACAGAGCTACAGTAACCAAAACACCATGGTACTGGCATAAAAACAGACATGTACACTAACGAAACAGAATAGAGAACCCGGAAAAAAAACCCACACACCTATAGTGAACTCATTTTTGACTAAGGTGCTAAGAACATACATTGGGGAAAAAACAGTCTCTTCAATAAGTGGTGCTAGGAAAACTGGATATCCATATCCAGAAGGATGAAACTAGACCTCTCTCTCTTGCCTTACACAAAAATCAAATCAAAATGGATTGAAGACTTAAATCTATGACTCCAAAGTATGAAATTACTAAAAGAAAACATTGGAGAAACTCTCCAGGACATTGGACTGGGCAAAGATTTCCTGAATGATACCCCACAAGCACAGGTAACCAAAGCAAAAATGGACAAATGGTATCACATCAAGTTAAAAAGATTTCTGCACAGCAAAGGAAACAATCAACAAAGTGAAGAGACAGCTCACAGAATGAGAGAAAATATTTGCAAACCCATCTGACAAGGGATTCATAACGAGAACATATAAGGAGCTCAAACAACCCTATAGGGAAAAATCTAATAATCCAATTTAAAAATGGGCAAAAGATTTCAATAGATAGCTCCCAAAAGAAGAAATACAAATGGCAACAAGCCTATGAAAAGGTGATGAACATAATTGATCATCAGAGAAATCCAAATCAAAACTACAGTGAGATATGATCTCACCCTAGTTAAAATGCCTTTTCTAAAAGTCAAATGCTGGTGGCAATGTGGAGGAAAGGAAACCCTTGTACACTGATGGTGGGAATGTAAATTAGTGTAACCACTATGAAGAACAGTTTAGAGGTTCCTCAAAAAAAAAACTAAAAATAGAGCTGCCATATGAACCAGCAACCCCACTGCTAGGCATACAGCCAAAATAAATGAAATCAATATATCAAAGAGATATATGCACTCCCATGTTTACAGCAGCACTCTTGACAGTAGCTAAGATTTGGGAGCAGTTTAAGTGTCCATCAATAGATGAATGGATAAAGAAAATGTGGTATATATTCACAACAGAGAATTATTTAGCCATACAAAAGAATGAGATTCTGTCATTTGCAACAACATGGATGGAACTGGAGGTCATTATGTTAACTGAAATAAGCCAGGCACAGAAAGACAAACATCACATGTTCTCACTTATTTGTGAGATCTAAAAATCAAAGCAACTGAACTCACATAGATAGATCACAGAAGGATGATTACCAGATGCTGGGATGGCCAGGGGATGAGGCTCACAAGGAGGTGGGGATGGTTACTGGGTACGAAAAATAAATAGAAAGAATGAATAAGGCCTACTATTTGATAGCACAATAGGGTGATTAGAGTCAATAATAACTTAATTGTACATTTCAAAATAACTTAGAGAATACAATTTGATTGTATAACTCAAAGGATATGCACTTAAGGGGATGGATAACCCATTCTCTGTGATGTGCTTATTTCACATTGCATGCCTGTATCAAAACATCTCATGTACCCCATAAAAATATATATACCTGCTATGTACCTGCAAAGTTTAAAAATCAAAATAAATTCTAAAAAACTTTTTTTAATGTTTTTAAATACCTAGTATTTAATAGCACAACAGGGGGACTATAGTCAATAACAACTGACCTGTACATTTTAAAATAACTACAAGAGTATAATTGGATTGTTTATAACACAAAGGATAAATGCTTAAGGAGACGGATACCCAATTTTCCATGATATGATTATTACACATTGCATACCTATATCAAAATAGCTCATGTACCTATAAATATATATACCAATGTACCCACAAAAATTTTAAATTAAAAACATAAAAAATGATGATACTATAGCACTTACTCTTTAAACTATTTTACTACTTTAAAACTATACTGCTTAGGCAATAGGATAAATACAAAGAAAGAAAAAAAACCCAAGAATTATTTCTCTACATTCAAAATTTTAAATAAAACTGCCCATTTTTCAGATCTGTAATTAATTCATTCAGAAAGCATTACTAAACATAGGTACCTCACTTCACTATATGTTTTAAAAAGAGAATGTAAGATATTTGTCCTCTAAGAACTATGGTTTAATTGAGGATGTTAGATAAATATATCAAAAAATATTCCATATACAAGAAATAATATTATTCAAATTAATCATAAGTTCAGACAAAAACACCATTAAGCATTAAGGGTCAAAACAACCTGGAAATCTGAAATCTTGAGAAACAAGAGAAAGAGGAATGGGTTCAATATAAGCAAAGAGCATTCCAAGACAATTTCAAGGACTTACTACCTATAACTCATTTTTATGTACCATCTATTGTAAGGGTGCATCTGCTGAACTTAAAGAGCCAAGAAATGGAGTGAAGCTATTAGGCCTATCACACACCAAATTTACCAACCTTCCCAAGTCATATCTTCTTTTTCTTTCTTTTTTTTTTTTTTTTTTTTTTTTTGTTTTTGAGACAGAGTCTTGCTCTGTCGCCCAGGCTGGAGTGCAGTGGTGCAATCTCGGCTCACTGCAACCTCTGCCTCCCAGGTTCCAGTGATTCTCGTGCCTCAGCCTCCTGAGTATCTGGGATTACAGGCACGTGCCACCATGCTGAACTAATTTTTGTATTTTTAGTAGAGACGAGGTTTCACCATATTGGCCAGGCTGGTTTCAAACTCCTGACCTCAAGCAATCTGCCCACCTTGGCCTCCCAAAGTGCTGGGATTACAGTCGTGAGCCACTGCACCCCGCCTCCTTCAGCTGCTCTTAATGTGCAGGAGAGGTACTCCAAAGTGTTATTTTCCTTGGACCTTTAAAACTGGTTATTTCTTCTTGCCTTTTACCACCCCTGGGATCCCACATTAAGACATTTCTCCAGTTGGCCTACCAGATTTTTTCTTTGTTCATAGCAGCTATTGAAAATTCTGCAGCACTTTGCCACTGAAATCTCTTCCCATATTCTCATTTCTGTTCAGCTGCATTTAGGCAGCTAAGACTATGAAAGATATACAGAATAAGAGACAATTTCCAGAAATCATAAAAAGTTAGGGATCAAGCATGAAAGCAAAAGAAGAAAGCACCATGGGAGAGACATTTTTCCCATGCATTTTCTCTCCTTGCCTAGAGAAAGATCCCATGAGTAAGGGAGTTGGAAGAAAAGCAAAAGATTTAAACATAATAATTTGAGAATGGGCCCTAAGTTTTCTACTTGCCCATCCCAAGGCTAAGTGCTAAGCTGAGAGGTGTGAAGGAGTGATCTATCCAAAATAGGCTTGTGATTCCCAGAAAGAAAAAAAAAGAGCTTGAGCCTCATTTTCTAGGTAGCAGCCAGAAAACTGGCCAGTCATCAGAATCACCCAACCTTAAATATAGCCCAGTACAACGCAAGAGCAGCAGCGTAGCAATTCCTGCGAGAGCTTTGTAAACAGAACTAAAAAAAATTTTTACAGTTCCCTTATCACCTGATCACAAATTTAATCTCCAATTCAGCTACCTATAGACAGAAAACACTCAAGATTTGTGGCCACTAGAAACAATTTCTTCTCCATGACATTGAACTCTAACATTTACCCTCAGTAACCACAATTCTCAATTCTTCCCTGTTCTTACAAGCCATGAATCCCCTTATGATTTCATTATCTTCCCCCTCCCCCCCGACCTTAGCCTTGATTCCAAGATTAACCATACTGGCCTTGGAAGCTCTGATTCTCTCAAACCCTTGCCACTTAACAATCTTTATAGCTCCAACCTCTGGCAATGCTTAGCCCTACAATACAGGTTTCTACTCTTGCCCTCATATTGTCAATAATGAGCTTGTGCTAACCACTGTAAAATGGGATCTTTTTCTTCCACCTGCAACTATTTTATTTATCTTATTTGTCACATTCCTTATGATTCATTATGATATGTATTCCATTCTTCTCAATTACTGAATACCTACCTCCCTCACCTCTGAAGAGGACTTCATTGAATACATCACCAGAACAACATAGGTTATCCAAATAAAATTACTGGATCTCCTATATGCCTCTATATTTGTCTTTCAGGGATCTGCAAACTGTGGCCTGTAACCCACATCCAGCTACTGTCTGCTTTTGTAAATGAAAGTTTTACTGGAATATTATTCATCCATATATTGTCCACGGCTCCTTTTGTGCTACAACAGCAGTTGAGTAGCTGTGGAAGAGATTATATGACCCACGAATTCTAAATATTTAATATCTGCCCCTTTACAGAAAAAGCTTTCTAATCCCTGATCTCTTTCATCATCCATTCTTTCTTCCTTTTCATAAAAAAAGAGATATTTCTGTTCCTCTTTAATATAAACTAGCTGTTTATGCCTTGGGTCCCTTTGATCATCTGCTTCTGAACATTACCCTATTAATTATCAGTTCAATGCATTTCTGTAGCTCCTCTATTCCCACTGGATCCTTCAACTATTCTAAGAATATGCTCCCCCCAAAATTAAAATGTCTCTCATTCTGTTATCTTTTCAATCGACCATCTGATTTTTCTTCTTCCCTTTACCATCAAAGTTCTGGTGGTAGAAGGTGGTAGAGGCATTGAATATTATATATAATATTGTCATAATATATATAACATATATTAATATATAACAATACAACATAATGTATATTAATATGGAATATATCATGTAATATATTAACATGTAATATAATATATAACAAATAATTATAATCATATATATTATATATTCAATGTTTCTATTGCCTGGTCCCATTTCCCTTATTCCATGGAATCTAACTTTTATCTGCTACAAAAACTGTTCTCTCAATACTCACAATAATTAAAATACATACTCTCTCAATACCTTTCATTAACTAAATATAAAGCCTTGTTCTTGTCCTGCATTCCTCTCCATGAGCTCTTCTTTTAAACAGTTATTGCAATTTCATTATCTTTTTAATTAACATGTTCATTATAAAACAACAGAAAATTCAACTAAGCAGAAAAGATAAAAGTCACCCATAATTTCACCACTTTGAGTTAAACAGTATAAATATTTTACTATGACTAAATGTACATACACTTATTAATAGTAATAAAAATCATATTATGCATTTGCTTTTTTATTTACTAACCTATCATGACCATCTTTCTATAAAAATATTTCAGGGCTGGGCGTGGTGACTCACACCTGTAATCCTAGCACTTTGGGAGGCTGAAGTGGGTGGATCACCTGAGGTCAGGAGTTCGAGACCAGCCTGACCAACATAGAGAAACCCTGTCTCTACTAAAAATACAAAATTAGCCAGGCATGGTGGTGCACGCCTGTAATCCCAGCTACTTGGGAGGCTGAGGCAGCAGAATCGCTTGAACCCAGGAGGCGGAGGTTGCAGTGAGCCGAGATCGTACCATTGCACTCCAGCCTGGGCAAGAAAAGCAAAACTCCATCTCAAAAAAATAAAATAAAATAAAATAAAATAAATAAAAATAAAAATATTTCTATAATCTTTCATTTTTGAATCTCTATCCTTGGTATCTAAATTTCTAATTCACTTCCTACTTCACTAATTATCTCTCCTCTAGCTCTTCTATCATGCCTCACTCTCAAAATCTGTGTTCCTCCAGGATCTGTTCTTAATTTTCTTCTCATCTTTGTATTCTCTTCTATAGCAACCTCATTACTTCAATTATCACCTTCATGAGTATGACTGCCAAATCAGTATCTCTACCCATAATTTCTATTACAAATTCTATTTTCAAATTTCTACTGTCCATTGGTAATTTTTCTCCAAATTCAATTGTCTGAAGCTGAACTCATTATCTGCTCATCATAATGAGTAGCTTCTGTGATGACCACCTCTGCTAGTGACACAGTCATCCAAATTCACTTTTAAATCATCCCTGCCTTTTCCTACTTGCTTGCCTATACAAACACATGCAAACATGCACAATCAGTGTCAGCATTTAGTTGTGTATATAACAAAACAATGGAAAATTTAATGGTTCCATGTCAAAATAATCAGGAGAAACTACCATTTAGCATTTTATAAGCCAAAAAATTTGGAATTTAGGGAATGAATAAGGTTCCATCTTCCCTCATTGCCTGAAAATTTAAATTAAAATTTTTTACACCTTAGGAACAAATATTTGCTATGACAATAAAGCACTGAGAAAATGCTACATACAATAAAGCCCCTATATTTTAACCAGTTCATTCAGTTTAATTCCTTATTCTTTTTACTATGTATAAGGTAAAGAAATAAAAAGTGATTCTTCTGATTTTTATTTCTCTAGTTTTAAGATACTGTGATAGAAAAAGTGATTGTACAAATCTTCAATTTTAAGCAAAGCGTTTATTTTATATTATACTAAATATGCAAAAATAACAATACTTTCACATTTCTGCTTTAATTATAAATTCTCTTTGATACTTCAAAATTCTTATTTTATCAGACTTGTTTTCACAGAGTTGATTTTCAAAAGAAAGAGTCACATTACATTTAATAATAAACAAGCCTCTGGGTAAGCTCACATTTTTTAAATTATGTATTTCAGAGCATATATGTAATTAGAGGTAAATTACCCTTATGTAAGGTCAAATTTAAACTGTACATTAGATCTCACTAGAAAGGAACACACTAAGAAGCAATCAAATCTTCAGCTTTTTAGAACATTCACATGTTTCCCCATCTACTCCCCAACACCCCAAGATATCTAGTATTACCATTGTTGTGGACAAACTGCAACCTAACTTAATAGGCAGACAAGATTGAAAACCTAACTTAGTAGTATGTACCTGTAACAATAGCTGAGTCTTGGCCAATCCCAGCAGCCATACTTCAAAGACTCATACGCTGCTGAGTGTTCAAACTGTGTTCAAATAAGGCAAATGCCAAGCTATAACCAATCCAGTTGTTTCTGTATCTCACTTTCAATTCCTGTGTGTCATTTCCCTGTTTTTGTCTATAAATTTATTCTGACCAAAAGGCATCCCTGGAGTCTCCCTAAATTTACTGTGATTCTGGGGGCTGCCCAATTCACAAATCATTTATTGCTCAATCACACTCCTTTAAATTCGGTTAAAGTTTTCCTTTTAACAGATGGTGTCAGAAGCGGGGTCCAAAGTAGAGCTTCTAATGACCCCAGGAATGCTGAGTGAACAAGCAAGGTAGCTGCAAGGACCCTGCAAGGACCCACTTGTGTCCTTGATTCCTCAGAGCGGCTGAGGGTTGTGGTAAGTTCTCTCTCCCAAGTTCAGAGCTCCAAGAATTTGTGTTTTGAGCTCTCTGAGTTTCTTTGAGCAAATTTCTCTTCCAAACTGGGTTTGGACGTTTTAACAGAAATGGGACTGGGTCCAGGATGGGATTTGATCCCTTAATTAACAGGCTTGGATCCAGTTAGAGGCCTCTTACATCTGACTGGGTCAGAAAAAAACCAGCAGTAAATGGTAATAATGTAGGGATTGTAAAATTTGGCTTTTGAAAATTCACAGGGATTTTTGTGTTCTACCCTTTGTTTCATTTTTCTTGCATTTAAATCATTTAAAAAACCAACTTAGGAGTCATGAGTTCTTTGCAAGAAGGTTTTCAAGCAGAGACAGCAACCACTTGACAGAAATAATAAATACTTCCTTCTACAATATTCATTGAATGACGATTAGCTATCAGGCACATTAGATCAAAGAGCACAGTAACCTTGTGATAACAGGATTCAATGATCTTAAAATTGGGAAAATATATGCATTAGCCACTTTTCAACTTACCTTTTTTTTCTCCTGCAATACTATTATTTCATATAGTCGTGGGATAAATGAACAATAATTTTGTTGTTGATCTCTCTTGATGTTAACATTTTCATAATATGATGTCTTTTTCCTTCAGAAAATTCAAATAGAAATTAAGAATTCTCAATTTTAAACCTATAAATATTTATGTAAGCAAAGAAATTCTTTCTACAGCAACATGTCCTGCAATTAAACTATGGAATAATAAGATTATCTAGGTATATTAGACCAATATATTCAAAATTTTGTAAAATGTATTAGTTTTCTTGGTTAGTTATGATTTTTTTCCAATTCAGATCATTATTATAAACCTATCTGAATAATTATTACAAAAAGAAAATAAGATCTGGTATTTATTGAACAAAAAGCTAACCCTAAAAAAAAGTTTCCTGTGTAGTCTATGTACCATTAAAAGTCTAAAATTCCAAATCAACTATTATCAAAATAAGAGGAAAATAGCCCTATGCTATTTATATCATAAAATAATCAGAAAAGGGCATAAAGATCTATGAAAACAAAAAGGAAGCTTCTTTTCATTGAAATTCAGACAACCTCAAGAAAGAATCAGAAACTAAATAAGCAGTGAGCAAGAGCCCCAGCTTTGGAGTTAGACAGCCTAATAAGATCCCAGCATTGCTACCTACTGCTACCTATTGGTTATATAACCTTATGCAAACTAACTTCTCTAAGCTTCAGATTCATCACCCAATGAATCTGGTGATTGGAAACTGGTAATTGGAAATAGTAATAACCAATTCTCAAGGTTGCAATGATTAAAGTAGACAATATATGTAAGGTGGTTAATGCCATACATGGCTCATAATAAGCACACAGTAACTGTTAGCTATTATTATTGCAAGAATCACATTTAAACAGGCTATACAGACCACACTACTATTTTTTCTATTTTGTAAAGATAATTTCAAAAAAAATCTGATACCCAACATTTCCAACAAACTATACCAAACATATGCAGATTAAAAAATATATAATACAAAGTTATGTAATTGCTATTACTTTCTTTGTTCAGCAGTGCTATGATTTAATATGCACTTACCATCCCCGCTCACTGCTAAAGGCTCACCTCCTCACTGATTGTTATTTGCTAAAAACTCAACAAATAAACCGCTTTCAAACCTCAGAAAGGTTTATGGATAAGAAATTTATATGTGGAATATCAGAAATGTCACATATCATTTAGGTCTGTATCTTTACCAAAAAGAGACCTATACACTTATCTTTCATTTAGAGTAACCAAATATCTCCACTTTTATACTGAATCAAGCCTCCAAGAATAATTCTGACTCACTAAATAAAACAAAAAGTCTAAGAAAGAAAAAAACAAGTAGAAAATATCAACTGCCAGAAGGAACTGAGACAACTACAAGTCAAAGATACAGTGAAAGCAGCTAACTCAAAGAGCAAACAAATTACAAAAACGGTGAAGTAACTGAAGCAGTCAGGAATGAAATCCATATTCATACATTTCTTCAGGTTAAAACACAAATGGAAGAAGAGGAAAAACAGGAGAAATAACAAAGATCAAATAAAGCAACAGCACAACAAATGGGGGAGGAATGAGAGTGGGACAAGGTTGAGAAGTAAAACAGACTGGTAGGAAAAACCACCAAGCAGAATCAGTTAACACTGCTTACAGTCCCGGGTATGCCTGGGGTACTCAGGCAGAAGTATAGTGAAATGGAATGAAAACAATCATCACAGAATGATATACATTTTAAAAGATGAATTTTGATTTATGCTATTTAAACCTCAATAAAACTGAGAAGAGGGGAAAGAGAGACGGTGAGAGAGAGAGAGCATGAGCACAAATCAGCCAATATGGCAGAAGAAAAGGATAGGATTAAAATACTGAAGAACAAAAGCATATGTCAAGAAGACTATGATATGTGTTAGAGTATTCTACAGACCTTGTCTTGCTTGGAATAATAATAATAATATTAAGTAAAGACTTAATTAAGCTAAATATGCATGTTAAGGTTCTAGCATAACTACTAAAAGAATAAAAATACAAAGGTATATATTCCATATTAAGAGAGTGAAAAAGTGAACAGCATAATGGATTAGAGTATAAATTCCCAAAAACAAACGCCATGTTTTATTCTTGTTATTCTCAGTTACTAAGTTCAGAACTGGCACATAGCAAGAATTCAAACAATGTTTACTCAATGAATGAACAGTAGCAGGGGAGTCCAAGCAAGATCCTAAAATACATCCACTGCTAGTAAACAGAAATATCTGATCTGTCTAGCAAATTAATTGAGTACGTAATCACTCTGGGGCTTCTTGGGAGAAAATTTATGCTATGAAAGAAAAAGAATCAGGCAGATAAGCTGGACCCTTAAAAAATTAATTATAAGAAAGGGTAGTAGATTCTGAGGACAACGTGGTATTTGTTACTCAATTTTGCCTTCCATGAACTCATGTCTAAAACCTGACTGTGGCAGTAGGAGAAAATAGAGTTATTTTGCCAGAAATGTATTTCTTCATAAATATTCTCGGACTTACACTGACTGAGAATGCCTTCTAAATCCATCATGTAGTCAGAGGACTGAAGATGAGAGCCAGGGATAAAATGGAGAATTCTGGGTCACCTTCTTTTACATTTTCTCTGATCTTTTATCTACTTTATAATTAAGGACAGTATATTTTAGTACATGGCTACATGTGCTGTATAATCAAACGGGCTTCAATTTAACTTTAGCTCTGCCATTTAATAGCTGCATGATCTTGAACATGTTATTTATCCCCTCTAACCCTTGCATTTTTTACTGATAAAATAGATGTAACAATATTAACTATGCAAAGCTTGCTGTGAAGATTAAATGAGTTAATGCATATATAGTAGATAGCACAAGATTTGGCTTATAAAAAAACAATTAACTTGGGGGGATGGGGGGCTAGGGGAGAGATAGCATTAGGAGAAATACCTAATATAGATGATGGGTTGATGGGTGCAGCAAAACACTATGGCACATGTATACCCATGTAACAAGCCTGCATGTTCTGCACATGTATCCCAAAACTTAAAGTATAATTTAAAAAATCAATAACTTTCATATACATTACACCAAAATGTAATACTTCTTGGAGTTTTTCATACTAATTTTTCCTTTCTTTACAGCATAGCCTAGTCTGAATTATTAAAATACTTTTCTAGTCAAGAGCTACATTAAAGGTATACTATATTTTTTTACTTACTGGACTATATCATACTGTCCTGGACCAGGACCTGACTTTTTAGGTAACTCTTGTCTTCCTGAAGAGTTGCCAAAATGTATACCTTTGTATTTCAAAGTTGCATTGGAAACATCCTAAAAAATAAAAAGTTTTAAAAAGTGAGGATGAAACATAGTTTAAATAAGTCATGAAACAATGTTTGGCTTTACCTAAGTCTAAATCTAAAGCAAGGATAGCCTCAGTAAGGGGGTTCCACTGGTAAATGCTAAAGTGCTCTTGGATAGATCCCAGGCTAAGTTGTCACTGTTGGTTCCCATTCCACTCCTGAGTCAGCTAGGGTTCCCAGAGAAGTACCTCTAACATTAGCATATTCTCAACCAATATGAACAGCTTTGCTCTTGGCAGTACACCCAGTAATCTAAAACCTTAAGAAAAATGAAAATTAGCTCCTCATCATTTAAAAAAGAGAGAGGGGATAACATTATTTGGGAAATAGAAATACCTATTAAAAATTACCTTAACTAAACAGATTGAAAAAATGCAAACATCACCAATGGTCATTACATAACTTCATATTAATGTAACCTTTAAACAGAGTTAGAAATACTTAACAATAAATTAAACACTACCCTAGTTCATTTTATTGCTAATGCTTAAAGACAGGATCAGTCTTTTAATGACAGAGAAATTATTTGTGACATGAGAAATAATCATCTTTCCTTTATACCCACTACAATAAATGTTAAAATTAAGCATGAACCATAAAAAGTTTAAGCACACTGTTTCACCAGAAACTAAAACAATAAAGCATAACACAACAGTAGCTTCTTTTTTACAGGAATCCTCTTGACCTAAAACATTCTTAGTTGAGAAATCATTTAAGAATATTTTAAAACATATTTTTAAGCTAATGGTATTTACTATAATTTCCATAACATATAGTTTAACAATGTGTCAAGTTGTTACAGCAGGTAGACAGCCTGACATGAGCAGGGTAAGAGAGAGCCCCCCCAGCCAAGAATGTCAGGCGACCATCAGGTGATGGTCAGGCAGTTGTTAACAGTCTAAAATAATAATTCATTGCAGCTGGCACCAGGGAAAGGCAGTCTCCCAAGAGAAAAATCCTGAAGCTGGTGATCAGCAGCTTCCAGATAACATCTCAGGAGTTGCGCGAATGGGCTCACACATGCACACTAAAAGGCAAAATGGCCGTGTTTAACCAGCATATGACCCTCTAGGCGCATTCAACTGGAAAGGTAAGAATGCCTCAAGTGAGCATGTGTACAACTCCAGTAAACACACTGCACACGTGGCCCCTCTCAAGTGCTAGAAAGCCACTGAGCATGTGAACAGCCCACCCCAAGGAAAGACTCAGGGGACAAGTAATGCAAGACCCTGGAAGCATGCCAACATACAAAACCCAAAGTTAAAAGGTCAATCCATGCACTTGATCTCTCAAATCACCTGCTGGGCCCTCTTCCAAGTGTTCTTTACTTCCTTTTTAATAAATTTTTACTCCCACTCTAAAACTTGCCTTGGTCTCTCACTCTGCCTTATGCCCCTCGATTGAATTCTCTCTTATGAGGAGGCAAGAATTGAGCTGGCTGCATACCCATAAGGATTTGTAACCGCTAAGTTGTTCTAGGTGGCTATTACTATTCTACAGCAGTGGAACCAACCTCTCTCAGTTACCATTATAAGCAATAATAATGCAGTAAGTAGCAACATTAGTGACAAAAGCATAATTTCAGTACAAAATGGTGAATCAAATCCATACCTGCCCCACCCGACTCCAAAATTTTAAAAGAAGTATATCAAATAGACACAAGTAAGTGCTAGAAACTTCACATGCCAGAAACTTTAAGGACTTTCTGGAAGATATAGCACAGCAAAGACTAGAACCAGAAAAGGACCTCATTACATATGAAAAGAGTCTCAGCTGAACCCACTTAACATCCCCAGAACCAGAAAAGGACCTCATTACATTTGAAAAGAGTCTCAGCTGAACCCTCTTAACATCCCCAGAACCAGAAAAGGACCTCATTACATTTGAAAAGAGTCTCAGCTGAACCCTCTTAACATCCCCAAAAAAACAGAAACTGGAGATAAACTCTTAGGTAGCGAGTAGGGGGCAATTCTCAAAACTACTAGCACCTTTGGAGATGTGCACCAGTGCCATTACATTAAGTGATGAGGAGAATGCTAACCTCCACTTTATTATTGGCAGATGTAGTTGAAACTAAATTGAAAGCACTTTCCCCTGCCCCTAGTGACTTTCTAGTTAGAGAGGCACCACTCCAGAAAGCTTTGAGGTGCCACAACAAAATCCAAAAAGAAGCTGGCGCACACTAAAATTCCTTGAACTTACCACTAACACCTAGCCCCCACACATTATAATATATAAGCACAATAGAATTAACTTTCCCTTCTACATCTGCCTGGCCTGAAAAAATTAAATGCGGATTGTGATGGTCAACTTTAGATGTCAATTTGACTGAGTTAAGGAATACTCACATAGCTGATAAAGTGTTATTTCTGGGTATGTATTTGAGGCTGTTTCCAGAATAGATAGGCATTTGAATCAGTGAACCATCCTCACCCAATGTCGTGGGCACCTTTCAATCAGCTGAGGGCCCAGATAGAACAAAAAGACAGAAGAAAGGTAAATTTGTTCTCTTTTCTGGATCTGAGATGCCCATCTTCTCCTACCTTCGGACATCAGAACTCCAGGTTTTCTAGCCTTTGGATTCTTGGACTTTCCCCAGCAGCCCCTCAGGTTCTCAGGCTTTTATCCTTGGACTAAGAGTTATACCATCAGCTCCCGTGGTTCTCAGGCCTTCAGACTTGAACTCAGCTACTCCACCAGCTCCCTTATTTCTCCAGCTTGCAGACAGCATATCATGGGACTTCTCAGCCTCCATAATCACATGAGCCAATTCCCAGAATAAACCCCATCTCACATATATAGTTATGTACCACATAATGATGTTTCAATGATGGACTGCATATATGACAATGGACCAGATATACAATGGTGAGCCCGTAAGATTATAACACCATATATTTATTGTTCCCTTTCAATGTTTAGATGTATTTAGATACACAAATACCATTGTGTATCTGTATCTTTGTAATCTGTACCAGACAGTACAATAACATGCTATTCAGGCTTGAACCACAGAAACAATGGGCTATACCATATAGCTTAGGTGTGTCATAGACTATACCATCTAGATTTGTGTAAATATACTCTATGATGTTCACACAATGACAAAATCACCTAACAATGCATTTCTTAGGACGTATCCCTATCATTGATTGACACATGACTGTGTAAGCATTGGTTCTGTTTCTCTGCAGAATCCTAATACAAAGACTAACACAACCTCTGACAGAACTTTAATGTTTGCATGAAGTAAAATGAGACCTTTGTTGATTCTTTTTTCATAGATGCAAACGTGTACAGAAAATTATAGTTTTTCTAAAGAGTTATCCTGCTTTGATTTTAGTAAATCCCCTTGATTGTTTCTTTCTTTGGTGGTAGAGAATATTGGAGCTGAGAAGAGAGAAACAAGAAGTCGTCTGCTATGTCCAAGTAGAATTCAGACATGTTTTGGAATACCTGGTGAACAAAGCAAAACAACCAAAAGGCAAATGTAAAAACTAATCCTATGAGAAGAAGGAGATAATCATGATGCCCCACACCTAGTAAGAAAATCTTAGTGTCAAAAGAGTGGCAATGCTAAATACTGGGGATTTTCTGTCAACTGGGTTTGCGTTCTAACACAGACAATCCTCAATGACTTTATGCCTCATATCCTTTTGAGTGTGAAGAAACTATGAAAAAAAAAAAAAACTAAAACAACTGTTTCATTAAAATATTGGCTAAAAGAAAAAAAAAAACCTGCACTACTTTTGAACCTTTCTAACAGAGTATAACACGAAGAAAGACATCATCATCCTCCCCCTACTTTATCCCAGCTAATCCGGCAGCTTTAGCTGTGAAAGAGAACATTGGTGGAAATGCCCAGCAGAGAGCACCATATGGCAAGAGACTGAAGTGCCTGGTGGAACAGCAGCTGTACTCAATGGAAAGAGACTTATTCGGGAGCATAGCTGAGACAGCCCCCAGGGATGTCTAGAAATACATGGGTAGAAGAACTTTGCAAAAGGCTATATGTCCTCTACATTGATAGTTACAGACAAAAAAAAATGGTATTTAAGTTATTAACATTATTGCAACTCTCTTTAGTAACTCCAATCCAATGAAGCCTGGGAAAATGTGTTATATAAATAAAAAGGATTAATCCTTATTTCCTCTAGGAATATTTCCAGCACTGTACGTGGTCTCAGTGGGCTTGAATTATTGATCTGCAAATCCCTTCTGCTGCAACACAAAGAGCAGAAAGGCATTTGCCCTTCTTCACTATGGACATTCAGCTTTAACACTGAGTGATGAGTGACAGTCTTATAAAGCACTATCTCAAAGTAATATATTATTATTCTTAATAGCATTATTATTATTATTACAAGTAGGGATTCTAATTTGATACACAATTCCAAAGCCCAGCCCCTTGTCATGTCCTTGAAGGAACAAAGCTATGAATAAAAACTGAAAGAGCTATCCCACAAATCTCTGCAACACATAGGGTATATATACACTACTTTGGAATTCCTAAGTATAACACAAAAGGAAATAAGGGAGTCAGACCATCCAAAGGCATTGGGTTTGGTGGGTGTAGGGGGGCAGAGACAAATGCTATAAAACTTAGCAGAATGACTTACAAAAGTGGCAGAGTCTGACATGTCCAGCACAGCAGTACATGCCAGTAAAAGAGCACGGAGAAACCCTAGCATCCACTAGAGTAGTTGAAAACACTCCTCTCTCCTCTTCTTATAGGGTCAGTGGCAATTCCAAAGACTGCTGTGCCAAACAGAACTTAAGGAAGAGAGAGAACCTAGCCAAACAACACTTTCTCTTGCTAAAGTAAGTGCTCCAGATCACCTTTCAAATGCAATTACCTAATACAACCATGGATTTTAAAGTACATAGGCAGTTTTGATGGCAGAAAGAATGAAATTTCCCATTTATGTTAGAGTTTATTTTTAACTCAGAAATAAAGCAGAACATCATAATTGTGCATATTTTTTTCTACTATATTATGACCATAACAGACAGTGAAGTACAAAATGTGAAACTACATTCTAATATAATATAGTCATGCTGGATATTTTAGACATTGTATATATTTCACACAAGAACATATCTAATATGTTGATTTACTATAGCCTATACATTTGTCAAAAAATCAGTATTTTAAAATACAGCATTTTGATGTCATCTTTTACATCACATTTTTATAGCCTAAAATCATGTTAAGGTTTTGTATTAACTCTTTTAATGCAAGGATTCAAGACCTTGAGCAGGATTCTATTGAAGAAGCTTTCTTTAAGTGAATTTACATTATTGAGATTTTATGATTCAATTGTTTCACAATTCTAATAGTAATCCAGTAGGAGGAAAGATTATGTATGTGTACATGTGCACACACACACAATTTAAGACCCCACAATAATATCCATTTTTTTTTTTTTGTGTGTGTGTGTGTGTGTGTGTGTGTCTACAATAATATCCATTTCATTTAAACCACATGAATTGACAAGTACTTAACTCATTAACCTCTGCGGTACTCAGGTAGATGTTGAATCAGAAATTTAAAAGGCTTTTAAAAATACAGACAGAAAACAAAGGATAAATTGATGCACTCTTATCTCTAAATTACAGTTTCTTTTATGTCAAGAAGTGTTGGCAATACCAACTTCAAGGTCACTGTCAATTTTGAAAATCATTAGCAAATAAAATATGACTTAATTGAAGCAAACTCAGCATGGAACTGCATTATTTTAAGTAAATGCTATATTATAATTTGAAGAAGAATTACTAACTGCCACTCTCACTGACAATTAAATAAATGAAGATGGGGCTATGCAACTTTCCCCCATGTCTTTCCATAATTAAATATGGAAATAGAATTTGTGAAGAATTAAAAGGCCCAAAGTGCAATAATTCAAACACTAATGAACTGTTTTCCAGTGTGGCAGCACACAGGTAGTTCCCAGCATGTTATCATTAGCAAATATGTCAGTATCATCATTCCAATCACAAACTTTGCTTGTGAAATACACCTCTGAAAAATAGATTTCTAATAGTTACCTGGGCTCTTCTAAAAGAAGAAAGAAGCTAAACTTTATCATTCAAAATGTTATATAAAATAACTTTTTTGTAGAATTTCTCTTCACAAATTAAATTTAGCTAAAGTTTAACATTTGTCACTTAGAGTCTTACACAACTCTTAATTCTGTATTTAAGCTTTATTAGACAGCTTCAGCAGATGTGATTCACCAGTTAAGAAAGAATCACAATAATTACCCATCTATTGGATTATTTTCTTAATTTTCTATCAATATGCACCTCTGGAAACTAAACCCACATATAGTATTAAATATTATTTCAAAAAGCAAGCAAAGAGTTACCCAGAATTATCGAAAATTCAGATAAGATTTGAATTAACATTATTACAGTATCAATTTGGCAGTAGTTTGTGAAGAACCTGTGTTTTTCTGCAGGAGAAACAGAAGAAAATAAAGCCTTCAGCTACTGAGCTTTGCCACGCTATCTCTAGTTCTCTCAAATACAAGATGAGGATTTCAAAAAATATCACAATTCCGTTTGTATTAAACTTTGCTGAATCTTCTTGAATATTATGAACTATGTCTTTAACTGATACAGAAAACTACGTTTTTATATGTTTTTAAATTACATCTAGATTTTTATTCCAATAAATAAATAATAAGTTGTATTGATTCAATACTTATTAAATTAGGCCATCAAATAAATTAGGTCATCAAATAAATGTCTTCTTCTTCTTCCTTATTTCTATAAATAATAATTTAGCCAGGAAGTAATCAAGTTTTATATGTCTAAGTAATGCTTATTCATGTGGGGAAAGGATTTTATACATGCAGGGAAGCTTGGAGGCATCATTGTGGCCTTCTAATAGATGACACATTATTCTGAAACAAAAAAAAAATAGCTTAAAGCAAGAATTACATTTTGAGATGTAAGTTATGAGTGATTAGGGAATTATTAAGCTAAAGCCAAGAATCTATGACTAATTGTGAAGAATACTTATTCCAATATGTTAGACCATAGTTATTTTTCTCAGGATATTTTAGGTAAGGAAACTGAGCACAAAGATTAAGTAACTTGGCCAAGGACTAATAACTATTAAGTGGTAGAGTCAGGACACATAACCAGGAAGTCTGGCTCCATTACACTTCTTTGCATAACTTGTCCGTCACCTTGGGGAGAATATCCTAATATCAAATCATAAGACCATTTCACTGGAGTTTTTACAGAATTGAACCTATTGTTCACATAAGAATATCTTACTCAAATATTTAAGATACTTAAATATCTTAATGAAGATTAATTGTCACATTGTTATTAATAGGATGATGGGACAGTCAAGGCCTAGAAGACCAGGTATGTCATAGAGAGAGAGAATGAAATATTCTTGAGACAAAAACTCCCATGGCCAGAAAGAAATGGGAATTCTTATGGTTAGAAAAGGAAACATGTAACTTATATTATCCTTACTTTTCATGTTACCAGAATTAATCTGGTTCTTCAAAAGTTTTATAGCATGAAACAATCCATTAGTCTTAAAATATCTGCCTACTACTGTATTTAAACACAAAATGTATTATTTCTAGTTTGTTCCATAATCAATAGGAATTCTTCTAAAAACTTAAAAATCAAAAATTAAATAATACTGGCTTATATATTTACCTTTATCATTGTTCTTTAATTATTTATGTGAATTTGAGTTATTGTCTGATAACATTTCATTTCAGCCTGAAGACTCCATTTGGTATTTCTTTTAGGGGGTGTGCCAGCAACAAATTCTGTCAGCTTCCATTTATCTGAAAATGTCTTAATTTCTCCTTTATTTTCAAGGAATAGCTTTGCTGATTCTGGAATTCTTGATTGGCAGTCTGTTTTTTCAACACTTTGAATAAGTCATCCCCCTCCCTCTGACCTCATGATTTCTATTAACCTTTTGGAGGATTCCTTCTATATGATATGTCACTTTTTTCTTGCTGCCCTCAAGATTTTCTTTTTGTCTTTGGCTTTCAACAGCTTGACTGTGATGTGTCTAGGTGTGCATCTCTTTGCATTAATCTTACTTAGAGTTTGTTGAGCTTCTTCTTTCTGTAATGTTTTTTCATCAAATTTGGGATGTTTTCAGCCATGATTTCTTCAAATATTCTCTTTTCTCCTTCCTCTTTCTCCTCCGCTTCTGGGATTCCCATTATGTGTATGTTGGTATACTCGACAGTGTCCCCTAGATCTCTGAGGCTCTGAATACTCTTCTTCATCCTATTTTCTTTCTGTTCATCAGACTGCATAATATCAATTGACATGTCTTCAAGTTAACTGATTCTTTCTTCAGCCAATTCAAATTTTCTTTTGGGCTCCTCTAGAAAGTTTTTCATTTCCATTATTGTAATTTTCAAATCCAGATTTCTACTCGGTTTGTTTTTATAATTTCTATCTCTTTATTGATGCTCTCTATTGGGTAAGGCACTATTCTTATACTTCCATTTAGTTCTTCAGACATAGTTTGCTTTATTTCTTTGAACATATTTAAAATAGCTAATTTAAAAATTTTATCTAAGAAGTCTAATGCCTTGGCTTCCTCAAGAACAATTTCTTTTTCTGTATATGGGCCATTTTTTTATTATTTGCATGTCTCAAAATTCTTTGCTGAAACCAGATATTTTGTATGATATAATGTGACAACTATGAAGATCAGAATTCCTACCCTGAGGGTTTGTTTAGTGATTTTCCAAGACTAATTCTCTAAACTCTGTATTCTTTGTACACTGAAATCTCAGCCTAATTAGCTGAGTGGTCAGGTAATGTCTGGACAAAAATTTTCTTAAGTGCCTTGAACCAATAAATCTCCAACCTTTGCCAAGGCCCTCTGTACATGTGTTGAGGCATAATTTTAATGCTCAAGCGGTCAATTTACAAATCTGTGTTTAGCCATCACTTCCTGCTTGTGTAGAGCCTCAAGGTCACCCAAAGGTAAGAGCTTGTAGAATCTCAACTCTTTTTTTTGCAGTGATAGTTTACCAATTCTAAAACTACTTTCAATGTACTATGGGATTAAGCAAATAGGTACATAATTCTGGATAATGGGAGCTAGGTTTCTTACTGTGGAAGTAGCGAGTCAAATATGGAAAGAGAAAGTCTAGAATAAACCTGTAGTGTTAGACTGAAATTGGAGGTATATGTATAAACTCACAGGTTTTAACAGACAAAGAAGAAGTATAGATTTCTTACTCTGTCCATTGAGATGACCTAGAAGCCATAACACCCAGTAACAATGCATGTACCTAGTATACAGATCTTACTTTGAAATACATTCTGCTGCTATGGAAGTAGGGCTCCTTAAAGAAGTGGCTGATTGCAAGGCTCAGGCAAGCAAATGAATAAAATGAACCTGGAATATCTTTTTATGCCAGAAAGTAAGGAAATTTTCAAAGAATGATATGAACATGTCAAAAGGACACAAAAAGTGGCTTACAAGGCTCCCAAGGGTCAAATCTGGAATCACTAATGCCTCAAAATAAACAATAAAGAAATAAATTATAGCACTTTGAGTAAAATAGGAATTCACAAATCCATACTGATATAAATATATAAATGGGGAAAAAATAAAGCTCTTCTTTATAGTAAAATGCCAACAAATAAAGGTTAAAAAATAGAGTTAGAAAATCACCATTTGATAAGCATCATGGTAAAACTGGTTCAGGAATCATCAATAGATGTTAAAACTATTAAGTGAGAGTTTGATGAGAAATAGGTAAGAGTTTGATGAGGAATGAAATATCTATTTAGTCTTAAAGTAATCCTCAAAAAATATTCACTTTACATGAGTTAAAACTAGAAGTCACCACCTCAAGTTAACATAATCATTTATGAGATAAATACCTTGTTACTCTTAACATGATATATTAAGAACCTATCACTTCTATAGTACTCCTGCCAAAATATTAAACAAACCTTCAGATATTCATAATATATACAAACCCATAACTGAAGCATATTCTACAAAATAAATAAACTGTACTCTTCAAAAAAAAAGTAAAGATTAAAGAAGACAAATACTGAAGAACTGTTCCAAATTAAGAGATTCTAAAGAGACATGCAACTAAATGCAACATGTAATATCAGACTGAACTCTGAATCAAAAATCTTTTTTTCTATAAAAGATACAATTGAGGTAATTAGCAATATTTTTCATAATAATGAATGAAATGCCCTGATTTTGATAACTGCATTATGGTTATAAAAAAGAATGCCTTTTTTTTTTTAAGTTCCAGGGTATATCAGCAGAATGTGCAGGTTTGTTACATAGGTAAACATGTGCCATGGTGGTTTGCTGCATATTAAGCCCCACATGCATTAGCTATTTTTTTCTGATGCTCTCCATCCCCCAAACCTACCCCCAATGGGCCCCAGTGTGTGTTGTTCCCCTCCTTGTGCCCATGTGCTCTCATCATTTAGCTCCCACTTATAAGAACATGTTGTGTTTGGACTTCTGTTCCTGTGTTATTTGCTGAGGATAATGGCTTCCAGCTCCATCCATGTCCCTGCAAAGGACATGACATTGTTCCTTTTTATGGTCAATCCTTTTTATGGCTGTATAGTATTCCATGGCGTATATGTGTCACATTTTCTTTATCCAGTCTATCATTGATGGCAGTTGGGTTGATTCCATGGCTTTACTATTGTGAATAGTGCTGGAATGAACATATTCATGCATTTTTTTTGTTTTTGTTTTTGTTTTTGTTTGAAATGGAGTCTTGCTCTGTCACCCAGGCTGGAGTACAGTGGCTCAATCTTAGCTCACTGCAACCTCTACCTCCCAGGTTCAAGCGATTCTTCTGCCTCAGCCTCCCGAGTAACTGGGACTACAGGTGCATGGTACCACACCTGGCTAATGTTTGTATTTTTAGTAGAGACGGGGTTTCACCATATTGATCAGGCTGGTCTTGAACTCCTGACCTCATGATCCACCTGCCTCGGCCTTCCAAAGTGCAGGGATTACAGGCATGAGCCACCACGCCCAGCCACAAGTATCTTTATAATAGAGTGATTTATATTCCTCTGGGTATATACCCAGTAATAAGATTGCTGGGTCAAGTGGTATTTCTGCTTCTAGATCTCTGAGGAATCACCACACTGTCTTCCACAATGATTGACCTAATTTACATTTCCACCAACAGTGTAAAGGCATTCCTATTTCTCTGCAACCTTGCCAGCATCTGTTGTTTCTTGACTTTTTAATAATCGCCATTCTGACTGGTGTGAGATGGTATCTCATTGTGGTTTTGGTTTGCATTCCTCTAATGATCAGTGATGAGCTTTTTTGTATATGCTTGTTGGCTACACAAATATCTTCTTTTGAGGAGTGTCTGTTCATGTCCTTTGCCCCTTTTTTACTGGGGTTGTTTTTTATTGTAAATTTGGTTAAGTTCCCTATAGACTTTGGATATTAGACCTCTGTCAAATGGATAGATTGCAAAAATTTTCTCCCATTCTGTAGGTTGTCTGTTTGTGCTGATGATAAGTTTCTTTTGCTGTGCAGCAGCTCTTTAATTAGGTCCCAGTTGTCAATTTTTGCTTCTGTGTCAATTGCTTTTAGCATTTCTGTCATGAAATTTTTGCCTGTGCCTATGTTCTCAATGGTATTGCTCAGATTTTCTTCTAGGATTTTTATAGTTTTGGATTTTACATTTCTTTAATCCATATCTTGAGCTAATTTTTGTATAAGGCATAAAGAAGGGGTCCAGTTTCAGTTCTCTGCATATAGCTAGCCAGTTCTCCCAGCACAATTTATTAAATAGGGAATCCTTTCCCCATTGCTTGTTTTTGTCAGGTTTGTTGAAGATCAGATATGCAATGTTATTTCTGAGTTCTATATTCTGTTCCATTGGTCTACATTTCTGTTTTTCTACCAGGACCAAGCTGTTTTGGTTAATGTAGCCTTGTAATATAGGTTGAAGTCAGCTAGTGTGATGCCTCTAGTTTTGTTCTTTTTGCTTAGGATTGTCTTGGCTATACAGACTCTTTTGGTTCCATATGAATTTTAAAATAGCTTTTACTAATTCTGTGAAGAATGTCAATGGTAGTTTAAAGAAAATAGCATTGAATCTATAAATTACTTTAGGCAATATAGCCTTTTTCATGATATGGATTCTTCCTATCCATGAACATGCAATGTTTTTTCATTTGTTTGTGTCCGTTCTGGCTTCCTTGAGCAGAGGTTTGTAGTTCTACTTGAAGAGGTCCTTCACTTCCCTTGTTAGCTGTATTCCTAGGTATTTTATTATTTTGGTAGCAATTGTGAAAGGGAGTTCATTTATGATTTAGCTCTCTGCTTGTCTCTTGTTGGTGTATAGGAATGCCTGTGATTTTTTTTGTGTGTGTGTGTGTGACAGAGTCTCACTCTGTCACTAGGCTGGAGTGCAGTGGCATGATCTCGGCTCACTGCAACTTCCACCTCCAGGGTTCAAGCAATTCTGCTGCCTCAGCCTCCCAAGTAGCTGGGACTACAGGCGTGCATCACCATGCCAAGCTAATTTTTGTATTTTTAGTACAGACGGAGTTTCACCATGTTGGCCAGGATGGTCTCAATCTCTTGACCTCGTGATCCACCCGCATCAGCCTCCCAAAGTGCTGGGACTACAAGCGTGAGCCACCACACTCGACCAAATGCCTGTGATTTTTGCACACTGATTTTGCATCCTGAGATTTTGCTAAAGTTGCTTATCAGCTTAAGAGGCTTTTGGGCTGAGACAATTGGGCTTTCTAGATGTAGAATCATGTCACCTGCAAACAAAGATAATTTGACTTCCTCTCTTCTTATTTGAATAAACTTTATGTCTCTCTCTTGCCTGATTTCCCTGGCCAAAACTTCCAATACTATGTTGAATAGGAGTGGTGAGAGAGGGCATCATTGTCTTGTGCCAGTTTTCAAAAGGAATGCTCCCAGGTTTTGCCCATTTAGTATATCGGCTGTGGGTTTGTCATATATGGCTCTTATTATTTTGAGGTATGTTCCTTCAATATGTAGTTTATTGAGAGTTTTTAACATGAAAGGATGTTGAATTTTATCAAAGGCCTTTTCTGTGTCTATCAAGATAATCATGTGATTTTTGTATTTAGTTCTGTTTACATGATGAATTACATTTATTAATTTGCATATGTTGAACCAACCTTGCAACTTGATCATGGTGGATAAGCTTTTTGATGGGCTGCTGGATTTGGCTTGCCAGTATTTTTTGAGGATTTTTTGCATCAATGCTCATCAGGGATATTGGCCTACAGTTTTCTTTTTTTGTTATCTCTCTGCCAGGTTTTGGTATCAGGATGATGCTGGCCTCAGAAAATGAGTTAAGGAGGAGTCCCTCCTTTTCATTTTTTTTGGAATAGTTTCAGAAGAAGTAGTATCAGCTCCTCTTTGTACCTCTAGTAGAATTTAGCTGTAAATCTGTCTGGTCCTGGGCTTTTTTCGGTTGGTAGGCCTCGATTTCAGAACTCATTATTACTGCTTCGATTTCAGAACTCATTATTGGTCTATTCAGCGATTCAACTTCTTCCTGGTTCAGTCTTGGGAGGGTGTATGCATCCAGGAATTTATCCATTTCTTCTAGATTTTTGTAGTTCATTTGCACAGAGGTGTTTATAGTATCCTCTGATGGTTGTTTGTATTTCTGTGGGGTCAGTGATGAGATCTCCTTTATCATTTCTGATTGTGTCTATTTGATTCTTCTCTCTTTTCTTCTTTGTTATTCTAGTTATCAGTCTATCTATTTTATTAATTTCAAAAAATAGCTTCTGGGTTCATTGATTTTTTGAAGGGTTTTTCATGTCTCTATCTCCTTCAGTACCATTCTGATAATATTTCTTGTCTTCTGCTAGCTTTAGGGTTTGTTTGCTCTCGATTCTCTAGTTCTTTTAGTTGTAATGTTAGAGTGTAGATTTGAGATCTTTCTAGCTTTTTAATGTGGGCATTTATTTCTATAAATTCGCTCTTAACACTGCTTTAGCTGCATCTCAGAGATTCTGGTACATTGTCTCTTTGTTCTCTTTAGTTTCAAAGAACTTCTTGATTTATGCCTTAATTTCATTATTTACCCAGGAGTCATTCAGAAGCAGGTTGTTCAATTTCCATATAGTCGTGTGGTTTTGAGTGACTTTTTAAATCTTTAGTTCTATTTTGATTACGCTGTTGTCTGAGAGACTGTTCATTATGATTTCAGTTCTTTTCATTTGCTCAGGAGTGTTTTGCTTCCAATTATGTGATCAATTTTAGATAAAGTGCCATGTAGTGCCGAGAAGAACGTATATTCTGTTGTTTTGGGGTAGAGAGTTCTGTAGATATCTATCAGGTCCAGGTGATTTAGAGCTCACTTCAGGTCCTGAATACCTTTGTTAATGTTCTGTCTTGATGATCTAATATTGCTAGTGAGATGTCAAAGTCTCCCACTATTATTGTGTGGGAATCTAAGTCTCTTTGTAGGTCTCTAAGAACTTGCTTTATGAATCTGGGTTCTCCTGTATTGGGCCCATATATTTTTAGAATACTTAGCTCTTCTTGTTGACTTGAATCCTTTGCCATTATATAATGCCCTTATCTTTTTTGATCTTTGTTGGTTTAAAGTCTGTTTTGTCAGAAACTAGGATTACAACCCTTGCTTTTTTCTGTTTTCCATTAGCTTGGTAAATGTTCCTCCATCCCTTTATTTTGAGCCTGTGTGTGTCTTTGCCTGAGATAGGTCTCTTGAATACAGCACACCGATGGATCTTGACTGTTTATGTGGCCTGCTATTCTGTGTCTTTTATTGGGGCATTTAGTCCATTTACATTTAAGGTTAACATTGTTATGTATAAATTTGATCCTGTCATCATGATGCTAGCCAGTCATTTTGCAGACTCCTTTATGTAGTTGCTTCACAGTGTCATTGGCCTGTGAACTTCAGTGTGTTTGTGTAGTGGCCAGTAACGGTTTTTTCTTTCCATATGTAGTGCTTCCTTCAGGAGCTCTGATAAGGCAGGCCTGGTGGTGACAAATTCCCTCAGCATTTGATTGTCTGTAAAGGATTTTATTTCTCCTTCACTTATGAAGCTTAGTTTGGCCAAATATGAAATTCTGGGTTGGAAATTCTTTTCTTTCAGAATGTTGAATATTGGCCCCCAATCTCTTCTAGCTTGTAGGGTTTCTGCTGAGAGGTCCACTCTTTCTCTGATGGGCTTCCCTTTGTAGGTGACTTGGCCTTTCTCTCTGACTGCCCCTTAACATGTTTTCTTTCATTTTGACCTTGGATAATCTGATGATTATGTGTCTTTGGGTTTATCTCATGTAGTATCTTACTGGGGTTCTCTGGATTTCCTGAATTTGAATGTCAGCCTGCCTTGCTAGTTTGGGGAAGTTCTCTAGGATGATATCCCAAGGTATGTTTTCCAACTTGGTTCCATTCTCCCCATCTCTTTCATGTATGCCAGTCAGTCATAGGTTCAGTCTTTTTACATAATCCCACATTTTTCAGAGGTTTTGTTCATTCCTTTCCATTTCTTTTTCTCTAATCATGTCTGCCTGTCTTATTGCAACAAGATACTCTTCAACTCTGAGATTCTTTTCTCCACTTGGTTTGTTTGGCTATTGACACTTGTGATTGCACTGTGAAGTTTTCATGTTGTGTTTTTCAGCTCCATCAAGGTGTTTATGTTTCTCTTTAAACTTGTTATTCTGGTTAGCAGCTCCTATAGTTTTATCATGGTTCTTAGTTTCTTTGCATTGGGTAGAACATGCTCCTTTCGTTCAGTGAAGTTCATTATTGCCCACCTTCTGAAGCCTACTTCTATCAATTCATCCATCTCAGTCTCAGCCCAGTTCTGTGTCCTTGCTGAAGAGGTATTGCAATCATTTGGAGGAGAAAAGGCATGGTGGCTTTTTGAGTTTTCAGCATTTTTGCATTGATTCTTTCTCATCTTTGTGGGCTTATCTTCTTTTGATCTTTGAGGCTGCTGGACCTTTGGATGGGGTTTTTTGTGGGGTCTTTTTTGTTGATGTTGTTGTTGTTGCTGTTTGTTTGTCTCTTAACATCAGGGCCCTCCTCTGTAGGGCTGCAGTTTTCTGGGGGTCCACACCCTATTTGCCTAGGTCCCTCCCCCACCTGGAGGCATCACAAATGGGGGCTGCAAAACAGCAAAGATGACAGCATGCTCTTTCCTCTAGAAGCTCTGTCCCAGAGGGCACCGACCTGATGCCAGCTGGAACACTCCTGTATGAGGTGTCTGGCAACCCCTATTGGAAGGTCTCACCCAGACAGGAGGAACAAGATCAGGGACCTGCTTAAAGAAGCAGTCTGGCCACTCCTTGGCAGAGCAGGTGTGCTGAACTGGGATGAATCCCCCTTGTCTAGACTGTCCAGACTCTCCAGGGCCAGCTGGCAGGAAAGAGTAAATACAGTGCACTGCAGAGATTGTGGCTGCCCCTCCCGCCAGGGGCTCTGTCCCAGGGAGATCAGAGTCCTGTCCATAAACCCCTGGCTGGAGTTGCTGAAATTCCCATGGGGAGGCCCTGACCAGTGATGAGGGATGGATCAGGGTCCCACTTGAAGCAGTCTGGCTATAGTCTGCCACACCCACTGTGCCGTGGTGTGGGGAATTCTTCCCAGTACAGACCAGTCTCTCTGGCACTGGCAGAAGAAAACAGCCAACTGTAGCTGCAGAGATGGCAGCCACCCCTCCCCTGGGGAACTCAGTCATCTTAGGCAGTCTCCAGCCTGCTGCTGCTAGGCAGCAGAGATTCCAAGCCAGTGGGTCTTAGCTAGTGAGGTTCCATGGGAGGGGGGCCCACTGAATGATGCTGCTTGGTTCCCTGGCTTCAGCCCCCTTCCTACAGGAGTGGATGATCTCCTGCCTCACCAGAATTCCCTGGGCCAGAGTATGAAAAACAACTCCTGCATCTCAGTGCCTGCCCAAGTGGCCACATGCCTGAGTGGCTGCCAACCTGAGTGGCCCCCGTCAGCCTGCACAGCTCTGTGCTTGGGGATCCAAGGCCCGGGTGGTGTGGGCTCACGAGGGGATCTCCTGGTCCATGAGTTGCAAAGATCCATGAGAAAAGTGTAGTTTCCTGGACAGGGTAACACAATCACTCACTGCCTCCTTTGGCTAGGGAAGGGAGCTCCCCTTGCCCCATGCAGCTCCCAGGTGGGCCATCATCACCCCACTCTGCTTTTCCTCACTCTCTGTGGGTTGCACCAACCGCCTAGTCAGTCCCAATGAGAGAACCTGGATACCTTAGTTGAAGGTGAATTCACTTGCCATTTTCATTCTTCTCAGTGAGAGCCACAGACCACAGCTGCTTCTAATTGGCCATCTTCAGCTAGTGTTTAATGTCTTGTTATTAGAACACTTACACTGAACTACTTAGGGGTAAAGAGGCGTCATATCCAAAATGTACTCCCAGATGATTTAATAAAAATAATAATATAAATATATGGGGAGAAAAAATGATACAACAAATGTGATAAAATGTTAACACCTGCAGGATCTGAGTGAAGGATAGGATTATTATTATTGTAAGTTTTTCTATAAGTCTGAAACTATTTCAAAATATTAAATTATTTTTTAAAAAGAAACATCTAACTGGGAACAATGAATGAATTAGATCTAATATACTCATACGGTTATATCTGGAAAATATAACAGTAAGCAAAAAACCAAGCAACATATACACCAGATAATATTTATTTAAATTTTTAAAATCATAAAACAATATATATTATTATTCATATATGAATATGTAATGAAGGTTTAATGTTTATTGTGGCAAAGGGAGAGGAATGAAGACAGGAGAATGGGGCAAACATCGTAATAACATATTTTTTTAAAATAAAGCTCATTCCAATGTGACGAAATTTTAACCTGTGTTTTATCTGTGTGATGGGTACATAGGTATCCATTACTATTTTCACAGTATCTATGTGTTTGAAATAAGTTACAATTAAAATGTTTTAAGAAAAAAGATTTTAATGGTTCAAAGGATCTAAAACCCCAAAAACTTCCCAGTGTAGCTACTGCCACAAACCAAATGGTTTTTGAAGGTGCTTATGTCTAAGCCCAAAGATGTAGTCACATACCAACAAATAACTATAGAATACTGGGAATAAAGATCAAGATAAATACTGAGAATGCCTTTTCTTTGCCCAAGGTGTCTCTTCAGCCTTTCCTTAAATATATGCTTAGTTTTAGAATTTTCCTCACTAGAATTACTTCTTCTACATCTCATTAAAGCACAAAAATACCATAGGTTCGAAGTACTATGTATTTCTGTCTTATAATTGAGTAAAATCAGACATACCATCTATCTTCATTGTCTGTATTCATGGATAACACATACATTTCAACTGTCTCAGTGAAATCTTGACAACTCTGGTCAGGTTTGAAATTTAAACTCTGGATGAAATGAATTAGCTATATTGTAACTGATATTTCAGTCAGAGAGAAGCTCCTTATTTTTTTAATAATCATTTCTGGAATAAATGATGTTTACATTCTCAGATTCAAATTCTTTTAAAAATAAAATGTTTTTTCTTTTCAAATTAAGAAAAATAATATCTATGTATTATTTATGATTATACACTGTGGCAGAGACTCCTAATAATTTATACCCATTCCTTCTTCTTCTGAGATACACAGACTATATTTCCCATTCTCCCTGGCAGTTAAGTATGGCCATGTGACTGGCTATAGCTCCAAGCCTGGCCTACAAAAACTTCCAAGCATAATTCCCCATCCTCTTCTGCCAGCTTGATACACTTGACAACAAGGCCCTAGAGGATGACAGAAGCACAACTGGAATAATCCTGTGTCCCTGAATCTCAGCATGAAGGAAAGTCACTTAACGAGAATGTCCATGTGAATGAGGAAAAATAATTCTACTGTATTAAACCACTAAAATTTGGGGGTCTATTTGTTACCACAATTAGTGTTCCATTAACTAAAACGTGTAATCATTTTTTTCTTGGAGAAATAAGCCAGGAAAAAAAGAAACCCATATGTAAATCATAAACAATTTTCCAATTGTCAATATGAAATACATTATACTTACAAATTGAGGTTTGTAGTATGCTGGACCAAGTGTACTGTCACAAGCAGGTGGAAAACATTTTATAATACTGCCATCATCATTAATATGATAACCATATGACTTTCCACAAGAAGGAATTGAAGGAACATCAACACTTCTGGTAAGTGTAGGTGATCTTGAAATTTTCTGCAAGGAAAACATTTTATATTATTTATTCCAAGGCAAGAGGAAGGGGAATGAAGAACCAAATATTAAAAGTTACTAAAAGGCAACTATTAAATATTGATTTAATGAGTTTCATGATATAAAACAAAAATGTTTGTTTTGTTATTGTTTTTTTTGAGATAGGGTCTCACTCTGTCACCCAGGCTGGAGTGCAGTGGTACAATCTTGGCTCACTGCAACCTCTGTCTCCCAGGTTCAAGTGATTCTCCCCTCGACCTCAGCCTCCCAAGTAGCTGGGACTACAGGCATGCACCACTATGCTTGGCTAATGTTTGTATTCTTAGTAGAGACAGGGTTTTACCATGTTGGCCAGGCTGGTCTCGAACTCCTGACCTCAAATGATCTGCCAGCCTCGGCCTCCCAAAGTGCTGGGATTACAGGCATGAGCCACTGTGCCTGGCCAAAAATGTTTTGTAAAAGTAATTTAAAGGAGTGAATTCAAGTCTGTTGCTTCACCTTTAAACCAAGAGAATGTATTTCTATTAAATTTAGAATAGAATAGAATAGATAACTATTAAAGTCATCATAAGAAGCAAAGATTCTTTCTCGTTTGGGTCAGTTATTTATCTTGCTTAGTAAAGCCACCATTACTAATTCTAAAAACAGGCAATCCTATTCACATCAACAATCATGCTATTATACTATCTACTATGCAAAAACAAACTTTGTATTTTTCAGTAATACTTTCTGGCTTCATTCCTTCCCAGCTCCTGACTTTTTGTTTCCACATTTCCTGAGTCTTGTATAAATGTCCTAAGTATGCAAGCTATATAGCAGGAAAATATCTATGATGTAATGCTAAATGGAAATAGCAAAATATAAAAGTGAACTATGAATATAGCTAAGTTATGTGAAATTATATATAAATGTATAAAGTCACATACATATATAATTTAATACCAAAAGAAGCTATACAAAAATTAACAGAAAATTAATGTTAGAGTCAGAAGTTTTAGGGTGATTATCCTTTTATCGAAATTTGGATTAATGGAAAATATTTTATAATTTAAATAAAAACATGAAGGTGTAATATATATTACAAATATTAATATAAAATGTATCAAATAAAAGTACTGGCATTTAAAGCATTTAGTTACTGGGACACTGAAATTATTAAGAATATATTGATTCCTGAAGTTTCTGCATGAATAAATTAATGCTATAGTTGCATGTTCACATGCCCATGTAGAATTATGTTATAAACGTACTATCACTGGCAGAATTTTCTTTTTCTTTTTTTCTGAGACAGAGTTTTTGCTCTTGTTGCCCAGGCTGGAGTGCAGTGGCATGATCTCCGCTCACTGCAACCTCTGCCTCCTGGGTTCAAGCGATTCTCCTGCCTCAGTCTCCCAAGTAGCTGGGATTACAGGCACATGCCACCACACCTGGCTAATTTTTTTGTATTTTTAGTAGAGATGGGGTTTCACCATGTTGGCCAAGCTGGTCTTGAACTCCTGACGTCAGGTGATCCGCCCACCTCAGCCTCCCAAACTGCTGGGATCACAGGCACGAGCCACCGTGCCCAGTCGTTTTTCTTTTTTAATATAATTTTTGGAGGGCGGGGGACAAAGTCTCACTGTGTTGCCCAGGCTGGAGTACAGTGGCATGATCTTGGCTCACTGCAACCTCTGCCTCCCGGGTTCAAGTGATTCTCGTGCCTCAGCCTCCCAAGTAGCTGGGATTACAGGCATGTGCCACCATGCCTAGCTAATTTTTGTAGTTTTTTAGTAGAGACAGGGTTTCACCATGTTGGCCTGGCTAGTCTCAAACTCTTGGCCACAAGTGATCTGCCCCCACTTCCCTGGCCTCCCAAAGTGCTAGGATTACAGGCATAAGCCACCACACCCAGCCAGAATTTTATTTTTTATCAAATTAAAGACAACCATTAAGTAGTTTCAGTAATACCTATGGGATTAATTACCAAATTAAAATAAGAAACCATTGAACGGCTTTCCCTCCTTTCCATATATTTAAAAAGAATTTGTGTGATGTCAAAACTTTCCAAAATAGGCCAGGCGCAGTGGCTCACACCTGTAATCCCAGCACTTTGGGAGGCCGAGGCGGGTGGATCACAAGGTCAGGAGATCGAGACCATCCTGGCTAACACGGTGAAACCCCGTCTCTACTAAAAATACAAAAAGTTAGCCGGGCATGGTGGCGGGTGCCTGTAGTCCCAGCTACTCAAGAAGCTGTGGCAGGAGAATGGCGTGAACCCGGGAGGTGGAGCTTGCAGTGAGCCGAGATCACGCCACTGCACTCCAGCCTGGGAGACAGAGCGAGACTCCGTCTCAAAAAAAAAAAAAAAAAACAAAAAAAAAACGACTTTCCAAAATATAGCCCCTACCTCCAGTCTCTATTCCTACAACTCTCCCTTCGCTCCTGTACTCCATTCTAAAGAACTTTGTTCTTTCCTGGAATATATCACACTATCAAACACTTCAGTGTCTTTATTCATGTGGTTTTTTCTGCACATAAAGTGGGAAAAAATATTTTTTCCCATTCTTTTTAACTACTATTTTTTCCCATTCTTTTTAACTACTCGGTGAATCCTTCTTCAAGATCAGGTCCAATTTGTTTCCCCCATTCCCTCCAAAGACTCTCTACTTTGAGCTACTAGTGAACACTGTATTATGGCTCTAAGATAGCATTTCATTAACAGTATTATACTGAATTTCATTCGTTATTTTCCTGTTAAAATTATACATCTCAGGAAGCAATGATTTTTTCTATGTATTACCAACATCTAGCATTATGTATGGCCACACAGTCACTCAAAATATATTTGATAAACTCCCTAAGTAAATGAACATTTACTTTGTCCCCACACACGAAATATCTGCAATTTAAATATACTTACAAAATTTAACCTCATTGTCATTGCACTGATATTATTCAACAAAGTACTTAGCCTTAAAACATATCTTCCTAAGCAAAAAGCTGATTAAAATGTAATATGAGCTACATGAAAAAGTTATGACAAGAGAAGGAACCACTCTAAACAAACAGTGACCAAATCTGCTCAATAATAGCATTTATTTCAAAGAGGTAGCCTTTGATGTAAAAATTATTAATTATATAGCACCCAATGTACCTTTCTAAACATACCACATACTAGTATTCTGCACAAATTCTTCATTTCAATTAAAATAACCTTCTCACTACCTTCCATAAAAATCCCACTTCTGTATCTTCACTCATGTAATACTCCAGTTTGGGATCCAGATTCCAACTCTATTCTTCAATGCCATGTCAAAACCCACCTCCTCTATAAATCTTCCATAAATTATGCCTTCACATAATATAGTAGTCCACCTTTAAATTCCTATGGCATTTCATTACATGATCATTCATTTAGCAACTGTCACATTTTGTCTTGAATTAGCAGCTACCTATTTGTCTACCTCCCATATAAATTTTAAGCTTTTTTACTTCAGGAATCATATTTTTAACTTATATTATTTATATTTTTTCCTTCCTTGCCACCAGGAAGGAAATATATTATTAACAGTACTAACACAGAGTTTCCTCTATACATAGGTAAACCACTCAGGTAGTTTGTAAAATTTCCCTTACTTTTTATTCACCACAGATGTTGAAAGTGACTATAGATTTGCTAGGAGCAAAAAATGAAGTTAGATATGAATACAGTTAAAAACTAAAGTTTATTTACTTATAAAATAACTAAAATGTAAACACTAATAAATTTTTATAGGAAGGCTTTTTAAATGTACTTCATATCACATAAAATATTAAACCTTTACTATTTTAACTAAAAAATGTCATTAACAAGTATAATTTAAAATATAAACGTACTGACTGAAGATGCTCTCTGGTCTCTAATACTTTTCTGTTCATGATATCTTGTGTTCTAGGATAAAACTGATCATAGCTTGCTGGTCCTGGATTATCTGAAATAAACTTCTTAAAACGTTTCTCCCGGTTTTGTAGACTATGGCCTCCTTTTATGTTACACTAAAATGGAGGGAAAAAAACCTTCTGATATATAAAAGAAGCACTTTACAATTAATTTCTACTTGATAAATATTAATCATTATCAGAAAATATTTTTAAAATGCAAGCTAAGAAAGTTTACTATTGACTGAGGATATAGTTCTAGTAAAAGGGGATAGTAAGAGAAGATAGCAATTATAGTTGTCAGTTTTAACTTGAAACTCAAAACTAAAATTTGCTGTACTTGGAGCACTTTGAGAGAGTGCAAGAAAACTGTTTTTAAAACAGAAATCAGAGATGGGAATTCGTAAAGCTGTAGAGCAAGAATAAAGGCCCTTAGAAAAATTTTTACCCCTGAAATGAACTAAAAAAAAAAAAAAAAAAAAAAAAGTTGGCATTCATATTGCAGGGAAAAAGCAAACCTTTCAAGGTTGTTTAGTGTTAATTATTTTCATGAATAACATTTTGGTCATTTCCAGAAAAAATTATAAAGACTTATTAGCAACAGCTTGGTTTTATGTTCAGATTAATTTTAAACATTGTTTATTACAGAGCAAACATTTGAGTGGAATCTTCCAGGGCTCTCCATGCTACCTATCTGGATTCTCCAGAATCTGAAAATTATCAATTGACTAATATCCAATTAATTTGGGTGAAATTACATCATAAAGATTCCTGTAAACAATTACAGTGCAATCATTTCAAAAAGATGATTTATGATAACAGTGGCTGGCATTTGATTGATCAGCTAAGATTTTAAGTCATTGATCTACAAATAGCCCTTTTCACATGTCCAGTTGTTCACAGTCACCGTTCACAGAGCCTATCTCTAGCGGGTACCTTATTCAACTTCACTCAGCTTTTAAGAAATATACCAAGGAGGCCTTCTTTTAAAAACTGAGTCAAATTTTATTTTTAAATAGGCAATTCACTACTTGATTACTATTTTAAAAAGATCAGAATTTCTATGTTTAAAGAATAGATGTATAAAAATAACTTTAATGATTTATTTTACAAAAACACTAACAAGTTGAACAAAAAGTAAAATCCTGTGAAAAGAGAACTTTCCAAATTTTGATAATTTAAAAGCCATTACCATAGGCTCTATGATCATACAAATCAAACTGCAACCTGCATCTATATCGATCACTTCAACAAGGACTTTATCTGAGCCTCCAACAGGTGAGTTAAAGGTCTGCTGGGATCAGCTAGGAGCCAATACATATAAATGCAAAATTTATGTGAAAATGGCAAAAGGTGATACTCATGACTATGAAGATATCAGAGTTATATCTACTATTTCTAAACATGAATGAACCATTGAAGATAATCTGGTCACAGATTCTTGAGACTGTGCAGAAACAGGAGACAGATGAGACAATGGCAATGGCTATAGCTTTAAAGCATGGCACAAAAACCAATTCTTTCACTCTAATGCCATTCCTCTTCTACGCATTTTTACTATCTGCACAACTTCCATGGGCCATAATTCATTCAAGAGTCCTATTCTCTCATTCTCAAGGACCATATAGCATGTAACAATGTTTTGTGTCTTATAGAATATGTAGAATAATGAAAAACATCCAACCCAATCATGCAACCAACATTGAATAAATTTATTTTCTATTATTCAAATTATAAAATATAAATTGAAAGTGAAAGAAGACAATATAAGCAGAAAATAAAATACAACAAATGACATTTGGTCTATTCAGGGAAGAAAACATGGTTTTATTAAGTCAATTATAGTAACTATAAAGTTACCTGTGCTTCTGAAACATTATAGTGTCCTGGACCTGGAACAGCTTTCTCAATGCTAGAGGCAATGGTAAAAGTACTTTCTCTGGCAGTCAAAGAAAGAAATGGTGCATTACTACCTATAAAAATAAAATCATATGACCAGCAGATAAGATAAGAGTCCAAGGATTTCAGAGAAAAACGCTCAAAATATATATAATCATGAGTATCCTCAATTGTTAAGACTTTATTTTCAGAACTGTCTAGTCAGAGAAGTTATTACATTTTTTAAAATCTGATATAAGATCAGAATTTTTATTAATATATTAAATATAAGAACCTAAAGAACTTGACTTATTGAACAACAACAAAAAAAAAACTAAAGAAAATAAAGCACTCTTATCTTCTAATCACTTTTGGTGGGGATGAAAATGGCAATTATATTTAGCTGATAAAACATTTTCATCCTCAGAAGACCATTGTTTTATATTTTTAAATAGCATATATTATTTGCAGAAAACATCATATATAAACTTGTAAAGACACCCTAGATGGAAATAATTTAAAGTGGGTTTACAGCAGATAATTGGTCATGTCTCCTTGCCTAGGCACATAGTTTGTATCAGTAAATATTTCTTGATTGGCTGACCCTAAACAAAGGTTTACAAATACAAGACACAAATTTCTTTGGAACAAGTAATTATAAGATTATACAAACTTGAACACTCTACTGAAAAACTGGTACTAAAAAATTCAAGATCTGTATTGGAAAAATTATTAGTGTTTAAGCAATGTGGATATCAAAGAAGAGATGGGAGAGAATAGAGCAGCAGCTATATTCAAACAGGTAATAAAAGAATGCAAGTGAAGACTCAAAACTTTTGCACTAAATCTTGTATACTAAAGGAAAATGTGTGCTACTGTAAGAATGTATGGTGATAATCAATATAGTAAAAAATCTTGCTAATCTGGACTAATAATAAAAGATACTCTATTTAAAATAAAATAATGTGTTTCTTTTGAGGCCCACATGTATTAAAATGCAACCAATGTCAAGAATTATTTATTTGTGTTAGGTATTGCAACATAAAAGAGGTGAGCAAAATATAGATCTTACCTCTAAAAAAGTAATATCTTGAAGCATTGAGAAAAGTATTGAAATAATTTTAAAAAAGGAAAAACATCTCTAATGCCATAATGGAAGACACATGCAAATTCAGAAAGAAGAGAAGTTCTCATCCACATTGAGATGATCAGGAAAAACTTCATGGATGATGTTAAAATTCAAGGTGTTAATTTAGTGACTGATGGTTTTAGCTGGTTATCCCAAATCAGAGAAGAAGGGAAGAGGAGAGGGAAAGGTAAAAGGAAGGGAAAGGGAGGAAAGAAGGCAGACTGACCTTCAAATAAGTTACAAAGACCACAAGACCAGAAATCCTTAAAAGTAAGCCAAGGTTCATTTTGAAAAGGCAACAGTTGTCTGGTAGAGCTGAGAAATTCAGGACACCAATGAAACATTCTACTTACTCAGGGTAAATAGCCAGAGAACAAGAACCAGATTTCATTCCAAATACATATATAAATACACACACATACACACTCAAACTACATATAAAATGAATCATACAAATTACCAGAGAGTGTACTTTCAAGACTCAGGAAAATATGACCCATAAAGAGGAGAAAAGTCAATGAAAAGAAACAGATTGAGAAATGAAAAGGTGGAATTAGCAGACAAGAATACTATATATAATCTATTATAAATATCCTTTATATATTCAACAAGGTAGAAAAAAGATGAACATGATGAGAAGATAAAGGGAAGATATAAAAAAGACCCAAATCAAACTTATAAAACAAAAAATACACTAGATGAAATTAATAACAAATGTTTGTGGATTAATAAAATACATTTTTTCTCAATTCTTAATCCCTTTAAAAAATAAGGTGCTCCTTGACCTGTGATGGAGTTACTTCCCAATAAAACCATTGTAATTTGAAAATATAGTAAATTGAAACTGCATGTAATATACGTAACCTATAATAGCATAGATTAGTTTAGCTTAACATGCTCAGAACACTTACATTAGCCTAACGTTGGGGAAAATTACCTAACACAAAGACTATTTTATAATAAAATGTTGAATATCTTATGTAATTTATTGAATACTGTACTGAAAGTGAAAAATAGAATGGTTGTGTGGGTACTGGAAGTTTGGTTTCTACTGAATGCATATTACTTTCACACCATTGTGCAAAATTTTAAAAAAATGTAAGTTGAATCATCATAAGTAAAGGACTGTCTGCAATTGCTTAAAGCAAAAAATAGTCTCAATTTATTGAGGCATTATAGCAGATGTAGAAGTAAAATGTACAACCACAATAGGACAAAGGGTGAGCTGGGAGAAATGGAAGCATACTTTGTGAGGCTTATTTACTATATATGAAGTGGTACAATATTATTTGAAGGTAGACTGCAATAAATTAGAAATACATATTGTAAACCCTAGGCAACCACTTAAAAATAAAACAAGAGAGGTATAGCAAATAAGCCAATAGTGGACATAAAAAAAGAATTATTTTTTAAAAACCTTTATTCCTGCAACAAAAGTAGGGAAAAAGGAAAAAGAACAGATGAGATAAATGGAAAGCAAATAGCAAAAGAGCATATTAAAACCCGAAGATACTGATAGTGAAATTAACTATAAAAGTTCTAAACACCTCAGTTAAAAGGCGGAGATTGTCAGATTGAATAAAAAAGTAAGACCAAACTTTATGCTGTCTATAAGAAACTCTCTTAAGACATAAAAACAGAAATTAAAAGGATGGAAAAAGTTATAACATGCATCCATGAATCCAAAAAGCTGGAGTGCCTATATTAAAATCAGACAAAGCTGGCTTTAGAACAAGGAATAACAGGGATAAAAGATATACTTCATAATGATAAAGGGGTCATTTCATCAACAGTATTTAACAATTCATAAAGAAAAGCAAGGAAGTTATTACCATAATAATCAGGATAGTGTTTAACTGTAGGGCAGAAAGAAAACATTGAAATAAAAAAGGCCAAAAAGAAAATTTTGGCAATGTTCTATTTCTGTTTTCTTTTGCTTTTTGTTTTTGTTTTCCTCTTCCCACTGATGGCAGATCTATTTTTTAACTGAATATCTTCTTTTTAAGGTCTACATTTATATTTTATGTGATTTTCTATGTAAGTATTCTATCTCACAATAAAAGGGTTTTAAGTTTAGGTTCATATGAACACTAAGGTAATCTGAGATAAATATGAAAACTAAGAAAGTGAAACCCAGGCTACTTCTGAGGTAGTTGGCATCAGAACACAGCAGGGCCCCTAAATGAATCTACCTTAAACAAATGTAAAATTAGTTGCAGAGTACTGAAATTCATATAAAAGTTAAAAAAAATACACTAGCCATGTACTCAACATATTATTAATATTATTAATGGTAGAGTATACATATATATGAAATAATTGGGCAATAAAGAGAATCAAGAAAGCTGGTACTCATAAAATCTTCATTGAAGTTTTCCAAAATTAATTATATAGAATCTTTTGTCAATAAAAGTATACGAGAAATATTGAGCACAAGTAAAACTACAAAAAATTTAAATGTTTATAATGATACACTCCATGAGAGAAGGAACTTACCTGTTTATTTATTCATAGCTGTGTGCCTAATGTTTACAGTGAGGGTGACCAATTAACAAATGATATTCTAAACTAGTCATCCATTCTGTAATAGTGAATGTTTTATTATGTATGGGAGACATGCATGTATGATAGGCAGTGAGAGTACAATAATGAATAAGATAAAACTCTGCCCTCAAGTAGTGGGTAAGCCTGACAAATAGACAATTATGCTACAAAAATCACTGCCAATAATTAAAGTATAAAATATAGAAGAGTGTTCTGGGGAATTAGAGATGGTAGAGTTTGATATGGGACATATGGATATATTGACAAGTGAAGTGCTAACTACAAATTATAAATCAAACTGACAGAAAGAAGAAATTAAGTGTATAGAAGAGGAGATTTGAGAAGAAAGAAATGAGTTCAGTTTGGGATATATTGAGTTTGAGGCACCAACAGAGGAAGATAAATCAAACTGGTATGAAGCAATAAAAGTCAGTCTACGCTGAGAAAGAAGGTGGGCAGTATGTGATTAAAGGACCAATTCTATAGTCACAACTACAGCCACAAAACAAAGAAAACGGCATTTTTCACATATAAGCAGTAATTAGATCTTTGAAATATGTACTCATCTTCAGGACAACAACATATACAGCAATCACATACATATTATTATCTAAACTTTAAAAAAGATAGATTGCATTCCCTGATGCAGCTATATTCTGATAGGCAAATAAGAAAAAATTATCATTGTTGGCATAAGCACATAGGCACAGGTATGAGACCATAGCCAGCTTATCCTTCTGTGGCAGATAAAGCTAACCACTCCCCCACCAAAAAAGAAATCTGGGAAAGAATATTTTTAGGAGATGATGTCACCCAGCTTAGCTAACTAATAGAGAACCAATAGATATAACTGATATACAGCTGATATTTATTACATAAATAAGCCAAAAAGCAATGAAATACTCCTTGGCACGATAATGCCAGGAGTAGTCACATTAGTAAAAGGAGTATGTTTTTATCACATTATACTAGGCTGGTTGTCTCTGGGGAATATTTACTTTAATAAGAGATGTTTGCTTCTCAGGTAATCTTAAGAAATTCAGGCATAGCTCTCACTAATCTCGAATTTGAGTATCCACTCTCTCCTACCTCATGAAAGCAGAAAGAAAAGCAGCTTAGTCCTGTCCCTTCAGGTTGAAATTCCTGGGTAGGAGAGATTCTCCCTGATCAAATGGCCTACAGCCACGGAAATCGAGTTTCAATTAAGGTAAAAAGAATTTCCTGGGGAAAATGTAGAGACAATACCCTGAAGGACTGGCCTGGCCAAGCAGGCTACAGTGAGGGGACAGTGGGAGAACAGCAGTTAGGAGAGAACGGTTGGAAATAAAGAGTATCTGTATCTAAGGCTCTAAGGTCTTTTCCTCTTGTGAAATTCAAAATAACAAGTAAGTTATATAAAGTCCCTACATCTGTTCTTCTCACATCATACTCCATAAAATGAACCTGACCCTTAGCTGAAATAATTGTACACTTCTGCATAGTCCAACGTGTTACTGGTCCTAAAGGTAGGTGAGGTAGTTTGTACCTAGGAAAGAGATGGTAGCTACTTTTAAATTATCTTTCAGAGAATCCAGCAGAGAAATCACTAAAGAGATACCTGTTCCTTCTATTGATTATCAGCATATTCTTAGTATTGCTAAAACAAAATGTATAGGATGCAGCTGCTCAAATTTCCCCAGCATGGAATTTCCTACTTTATCTCATAGATCAACAAGACACTATCCTATAAAACAGTAAAAGGGTTTTACCACACGCTCCTTACTTCTCTCTAAGCAAAGTTACAAGTTACAAGAGTTTTAAATTACGCTATATGTGGCTCATTATATTTTAATTTTATTTCAAGATTACTGTTTGTTTTTGAACTTATGTGTTATGGTATTCACCTAAAAACTAGGAATAATGGAGTAAAGATCGTGGTTATTGCCCTCAAGCAGCTCACATTTTAGTGGGTCTGCCAGATAAGTTAACATTAATTACAATATAGAATCAAAGTGCTATAAAGGTCATTAAGGAGTCAGAGAAGAAAAACCTGAGAAAGAGTAGTCAGTGAACAACTTCACTTTAGCTGAATCTCAAAGAATAAATACAAATTAGCCAAGTGAAGAAAGAAAACAGTGTACTGGACAAATGTATCAGCAGATACAGAGGCACAGAGGTGAGTGAGCATGAACTTAGGAAAACTGTAAAGTTGAAATTGCTGAAATGTAGGTCAGGTGGAGGTGGAGGTGTGGGAGATGAGGTCAGGGCCCAGAACATGAAGAACATTATAAACAACATTAAGGAGTTTAGATGTTAACCTTGATATTACAAAGGATTTTTTTTTCACAAATAATGTAATATATCTTAGAAAGATCACTCTTGCCACAAGATAGAAGATGGATTGAAGACTGAAATAAGGAAAAACAAGTAATATTTTATATGTTTAATTCAAAATAGAAATAATGAGAGCTTGAACTAAGTCAAGGACAGCTAAATGGAAAAGAGGAACTAATCAAACAGGCACTGAGAAGATAGAATCATTAGGTGTTAATGATCAACAGGAGTAGTCAGGGAGAAAAGAGTCTAGAATAATTCCAAAACTTAAAGTTTATTATAGACTAATAGGGAATTTTTAAAAAGGGACCAGTATTGCTGGAAAAAAATTTTAAAAGGGACCAGTATTGCTGGAAAAAATTATGAGCTCAGACACTTAAAACTTCAGATACCGGAGACCATCTAGGTAGAGATGTTCAAAAAAGTAACTGGTTATGACTCAAGGACATCAACAGCAACAAAAAAAGAATTAAAAAGAAGAGAAAAACAAACAAAAGTGATTGGCAGTGTTGAAAGCCGAAAGATTAGGAGAAAGCTCACCTTAGAGACATAAATCACCTGTATCTCTTAAGATTTCCTTCTGGGAGTCATCAGAATCAGAATATGGATAGCAAATGAGAAAGTACACACGAGAAAAGTAACAAGCAAAGGATTGGAAGTACAGTACATAAACATTTAAAGATGTGTCAAATGAGGACTAAGCTCTGATTTTTTTTATTTTGCCCAAATTCCTATCTAAGGGGTCTAGGGAGTCACGCCCTACAAACTATACATTCTTATCAGATGGATTTTATTTAATCCTATATATAGTGGCTTACTTTCCAATCTGACTCTGGCATAACATTATGAGACAAGGAAAAAAAATCAAAATGTTTTACCTAAAAATATATTTCCTTGCCATACCTTGAAATTGCCCTGCAAAGTCTCTTGTGGGAAAAATCAACACTCTATAGAGAATACCCTTTCCCCTTCGTTTTCCTTCCTTTCCAGATGCAGGAGATAATCAACTAAGAGCCAGGCACTCTTTTAGGTCTGATAAGAAGCATTTTACAACCTGCTCCCTCTCTCTGAAGTCTGCTATCTGAGAGTTTCCTCTGCACAACAAAACTTGGTCTCCACAATCCTGTATCTTAACCTGAACATTTCTTTTGATGCCAGTCTTCAGATAGACTCAACCAATTGTCAACCAGAAAATGTTTAAATTTACCTATAGCCTGGAAGCCCCCACTTTGAGTTGTCCCGCCTTTCTGAACAAAGCCAATGTATTTATTAAGTGTACTTGATTAATAACTCATGCCTCCCTGAAATACATAAAGCCAAGCTGTACCCCAACCACCTTGGGCACATGTTCTCAGGACCTCCTGAGGGCTGTGTCACAGGCCATGGTCACTCATATTTGGCTCGGAATAAATCTCTTAAAATATTTTACAGAGTTTGACTCTTTTCATCAACAAGAAACATAAAAACATTTAAAGAAGGCCATGAAGGACTGCTTGGAGAGGGGGAGAAGATGATGCCCTGATTCGGCATTTAACAAATGTTTATTAGGTCCCAATCATGTTCCCAGACACTCTTCCAAGACAGTAGTTGGGAAAAAAAAAAAAAAAAAAAACAGGAGGAAATGATGTTACATTTTGGAAAGAAGTGTTTCCAAGAATAAAGTGGTCAGTTATGTCAAAATTAAGGATTGCAAAGTGTCACAGGGGGTCATTGTTAGCCATTGTTAGGGGAATTAATGCTTATAATGCCCAACTCCATTAAAATAAAGATAGAATAAGCTGCAAGAATAGTGATACCAGATACTGTGAAGCAGTACAATTCAACATGTGAAACACTGACAGAAGTCAAATTTGTACTCCACCCCAAGAAACCTAAACCTTCCCTTATCTGATCAGTTATGTAACAGAATAATGGATCCTGGCATTTGCTTGAAAATACATAGTGTAGGTATGGGGAAAATGTAGGTTAAGAAAAACTATCATTTGGACGGTATTAAGCTCCAGAAAATCACCAGAATAGAAAAAGTAGAAAGCAAAATTGATGTATTTATTTTTGACTAAGTCACTAACTGCAAACAAACGAGGAGAGCAAATATTATTTAAATTATCCATCCCCACTCCACTGGTCAAAAATATAATTTTTCTTTACAGAATGTGGAGAAAAGGGGCTCCCCTGAAGTGTGTTAAAAGAGATGAGGACGGTCAGAAAAATCTGTCTGAAAAAAAAACGGAACTATCTTTAAATAATACTGCAAAATAGAAATATAAGCTACATCTTAATAAATAAATGTCTCTGGTTAATGGGAGGAAAGATGTGAGGCAGGCAGGATTACAAAGCAACGAGACAGCGGGAGGTAAGGGCACAGGATTTGGAGACTCATATATTATGTCAACACAGCCAGGAAATCAAAATCCTAGACCTAAACTGCACAATCAAAAGTAGGATGTAGACAACTATTGCGGAATCAAAAGTCCTAGCCATATGCTCACCAGCCTTTTGAAATGGGACAAGTGATACTATCAGTCTCATCTGTAAAATAAAAGTATAGTGTTTTCCCTGCCTACTTCATGTTTTGTTATGTTTACAAAATGGTACTATTCCGCTCTATGTTTAACTCACAAGCACGCAGAAGCGGAGCAGGCTGAAGATAGGATGCCTGTCACAGGAGCTCTGCCTCTTCCTACATCTTACCTGTCGCCTGCTGCTTCAGGAAAGGTACCTGGTAGGATCCAGGACCCACATGGGCCTCAGTGCTGCCACCTTCAGCCAATTTGAGCAGGCGGGGAGCCCGATCATACATAGTGCTCGGGGTGGTGGGGGCGCTGGGGAAGGGCAGGTGCCGAAAACGATAAAAACAAGGTAGCTAGAAGTGTGGAGAAAAAGGAAGCCGACACCAGTCTGAGGAGGCCGGGAAAGAACTTCCGTAAACAGGGAAATTAGGGGTGGGGTTGTCTCCCCGCCCGCTCATTGATACCAGATTTCCTCAAATCGATTTCTAGCTCTGTGGTAAAGTAGAGGGGTGAGCGACTAGAGATTAGACGTCCCACACAATCATCAGTTTGCCAGGTGCACGCCACCAAAATTGGGTATTAGGGATTAGACGCTCGCCCCGGTGCTTCCGGCCCTGACTCCGCCCACTTCTCTCCGCCCGGAAGCCTGGGGAGGAGGCGGGCCCAGTCTCTGGGGAGGAGGCGGGCCCAGTCTCTAGGGAGCGAAGTGGAGGTGCCTTCCTGGGCCGAGCCCTCGGAGCATGCGCACCGAGCAGCCACCCTTTCCCGGCTCTTTTTACCCGGAACCCGGCGCGCCTTGAAGAAGGCAGGCCTAAACCTCGTAGCTCTTGGGGTCCCGGTAACTACTTAGGTCCCGAACTTTTTTAAGTATGCAGAAGAACCTTAGAAAACGCGTTAGGAAGGGTGAGGACTAACTTGACCTTGATCTGCTTCCCGACTCAACAGAACCTAGTAAAGAAAAATGCAGTAGCATGAAGCAGAGAGCTTGGGGTTCCGCAAGCTCTCCCCCGCTTCTACTGCAGCCCCACTCGTACTCACAGAGAAAAGGCACCTCTGATCTTAACCTGTAGATAGTCCAAACTGCTAAGACAAACCCAGGGCTCAGGGCAGTGACAAGAAATGGAGAACCCAGAAAAAAAAATAACAAATAAGATAAGGGTAAAAAAGAAAAAAAAAAAAAAAGAAATGAGGACACCAGGCAAGGAGGCGAAAAGCTCACCAACTGAAGCCGTGGAAGTGACTGAAAGCTGCCTCTTTTGTCGTATGCCAGGTAACCACAATACTGATTCATCAATATTTAAAAAGCAAAGCGAAGGCACTGAAAAAGCCCAGTCCACCCCACCAAACCAATGATTCTGAACCTTGGGCAAAAGAAACCTTGCTTGTCCTTGGGGCTTAAGGAATCTATGTCAGAATCCACCTCTGCATCTCGCAGGCTGTTTTTTCTAGCAAGAATTCTGTCCAGATTATAAATATCCTCAGAGGCTTAGACAAATCCTACCTTGATCATACCTCACCTCCAAATGGTCTACAGTACGTTAATTTGTTCCTACTACAAGTTTTTATAGTTTTCATACTCTGTAATACACGATTTGCCACTCAATCCTGTGCAACATTTACTGTGGCTTCATTGTGCCATATAGGTCGGAACCCTCTCCTTGCGAGGCTATATGCTTCTCAAGGATGTATCTGTAGTACCTTTTTTTCTGTTCAATAGCTAGCTAAATTATTTATGCACTTAAAAAACACGAATTGGCATATACTGTAGGTTCCATCCCTGCTAAGTTATGAGGATACAAAGGCATAAGAAAGTCCCTGCCCTCAGGTGTTCTCTCTCTAATGGGGAAAGAGACGTATAATCCAAAACGAGAGGTGGCAAAGATTTTTTTTAATGGTAGGAAAATGAATATTGCAATATTTTGGAAACATCTCACCAACTTCGATTCTCCCTGCATTCTGTCAGAAACCCTCATAATTCTCTCAATGTTGTTTTAACCTTATTTTCCAAGCTGCCACCTATACCCATTCAGAAGATCTAGATATTTACTATGACATATTAGAAAGAGTCACAGAGATGAAAGAGAAAAATTCATGTGCTGTGTATGATAATCCAGTGGTGCTTGTAAATTTGCCCGCTATGTCCTTAAGGACATCATTTGACCTTGATGATCCAAACAAGGATATCAACCCAAACTGCATACTCAGGTCTAGGCCATGGTTGCCGTAAGCATTGATGCAGAATTTCAAGCCCTGTCTGGCCATTCTGTCTGCAGTAGTCTACATTACTCTTTGCTTGAATATACATATTTTTGGAGATTGGAAATGGAAATGGTAAAGCTGGCTTTATATGCTTTCTGTCTGATTTGATTTTCAGCCATTGAATGTAACCTAATTTAGACAAAGGGAGTTCTTCATAGCACCCTTCCTAGCTCATTTGCAGACCTCTATGGGAGAGTTTCTGAGTACCAGCTAGGAAAACACTGTTTATTTACCTTGCCTGCCTCCTGAGTGAATGCTTTTTCCTCAAGGACTTCACAGAGATGGGTAGCTGATCAATGGCAGGACCCCAGTGTTTGTGGGTCTTCTGGCCAGATCCTACCTAAATATTACACACTGAAGTGCAACCTATATACTCTTCATAATTTGGTAATTGGTCTCTCAAAATTCTGCATTCTTAACAAAAAAAAATCTTTCTTTTAAAAGTTTCTATGAGGCCAGGTGCAGTGGTTCACACCTGTAATCCTTAATCCTAGCACTTTGGGGGGCCCAGGCAGGAGGATTGCTTGAGGCCAGAAGTTCAAGACCAGCCTGGGCAACATAGGGAGATTCCACCTGCACACACACAAAAATTTTTTTTTAATTAAAAATTAGCCAAGTAGGAATTTGAGATTACAGCAAGCTATGATGGTACCACCGCACTCCAGCCTGGAAGACAAAGCAAGACCCTGTCTTAAAAGAAAATTGTTTATGAGAACACTTGGACACAGGAGGGGGAACATCACACACCGGGGCCTGTCGTGGGGTGGGGGAAGGGGGGAGGGATAGCATTAGGAGATATACCTAAAGTAAATGACGAGTTAATGGGTGCAGCACACCAATATGGCACATGTATACATATGTAACAAACCTGCACGTTGTGCACATGTACCCTAGAACTTAAAGTATAATTAAAAAAAAAAAGAAAATTGTTTGAATTTCCTTTTCAAACAATTCAAATAGTATGAAAATTTCTATTTCCTTGATGACTGTGGCTACTCTCTATATTTCCCAGCTATTATTTCCTCCTTATGGTTCAGTAATGAGAATGGTACACAGTATTTCAAGATTGGAAAATATTTTTTAATGAGAAAAATAAATCTTTTTCATTATCTCTCATTGTAAATATTTCTTCAATAGTCTGGAATTAGTATACTAAAAAAAATATGTTAACACAGAATTATAATTACATATAAATATGAAATAATTTGGTTCAGCATTTCTCAATTCCTCCAAAAGTTTTAATGCTAATTAACCACACTATGTAAACATTTTACTGTATTAGTAATTCCATAGATGGAATTTTTGTTTGAGCTAAGATTTATTGGAGTTCAAAATTTAGGTTCTTTCCATTTCTCCCTGCTGGCTTATACCAGAATAAACTTCAAAATGAAGCTTGAACAAGAATAAGGTCCAAGAAATTAAACTGATTCAATACTGAATATGTTGGCTGCAGTGAAGAAGAGAAAAAGCATATTGGGTAAAAACTAAAGAAATCCAAATAAAGTATGGAGTTTAGTTAATAATGTATTAATATTGTTTCATTGTTTCTTCCTATTTGCTAATTCCATCTACACATACACAAAAAAAAATTTTTTTTGAAGACAGGGTCTTGCTTTGTCTTTCAGGCTGGAATACCATGGTACCATTATAGTTCACTGTAATCTCAAACTCCTGCCTGCTATAGGAGCAAATAGCAGAAACTCTCTATGGGTTATAGATTGAGTTTCTCTCTGTACTTTATAATTTTTCTAAAAATCTAAAACTTTTCTGAAATAAAATTTTACCTAAAAAACAGGCATGAATACCAGATGAAAATTACAACTAAGTCTTACATAACTTAAAAAAGAGATAATTCCAATGTTATTTAAAATATTCCATATTGTAAAGAATTCCTTCCATTTTATTCATGAATGTATATAACTTTAATACTAAAACATGTTCAAGAATCCACCAAAAAAGAATAATACAATCAATCTCTACCATAAATGTGTATCTAACAAATAAAATGAAACATTAGCAACCAGAATCTAGCAATGCTTTTGTATGATAATATATTAAGACCAAATAAGTAAATTCTCTAATTGCCTGGATAATTCAGTTTTAGAAAACCACTACATAATCTTCTACATTAATAAATTATCAAAGAAAATAATATATGTTCATATCAATAGATGAAGAAAGGACAGTTGAGTGATCCTCCTACCTAGGCCTCCCAAAGTGAAAAAAAAAAAAAGGAAAAGCATTTGATAAAATTAAAGAGCTATTTGTAATGATAATTCTACATTTAATGGAATTTGAGGAATACTATTTTAATATAATAAAAAATACCTTAAAAATTAAAATCAATAAAGTATTATCCCAACCAGCAAATACTAAAACTATTTCAATTAAAATAAAAAATAAATAGAAATGCCTCTATCATTATTACTATTATCTAGTAATGGTGTATCATGCTTGCTTCGACAGTACATATACTAAAATAGTGGTGTGTCCATTGAATACAACAAAATTAAGTAAAATAACTGGTATTAGTTGGAAAGAAAGATATAAAAATATCTCTTTTTGCCTATGATGTAATTGGATGCCAAAACAGTACAGGAAAATGTAATAAATTACCCTAAGATTATAAAAGAATTAAGTGCAGTGACCATATTAAAGTTAAATATATAAAAAACAGTAGTTTTTATCTATCCTAACAATTACCTAAAAAGGAAATTGGAAAAAAATCTCATTTTCAATAAAGACAAAAATAATGACAGAATTATGCAAAGGAAAGGCATAGAATCTAAACAAAGAAGATAGGAACAAATGGAAAGATATCAAAGTTAAATAGGAAAACAATATTAAAATATCAGTTCTCCCAAAACTAATATATAATTCCAATTAGAATCCCTCTGATTTTTTGATATAATAATGTGGGGGAATAGAGAGTATGAAAAAAAGAATAGTGAAGAATAACTCTGATTTCCATGAATCAGAAGATACAGTGGCTATAAAGCCATTATAATCAAATCAATGTGGCATTGGCATAGAAAAAGACAAATAGATCAGGAGAACTAAAGAAAGAATCCGGAAATGTTTTCTAGTGTATGTATGTTAATTTGCTCGTGTGTGAGTCTGTGTGGTGTGTGTTTATCTTCCAATAAAACTTTATGGGCACTGAAATTTGAATTTCATATGATTTCACATGTCATGAAATATTATTCTTTAAAAAAATCTTTTCAACCACCTAAGAATGTAAAAAACATTTTTGTAATGGTATGAGAATAAGGAAAACAATAAAAAATGCAGTACTTTCTTTTTAAAAATATGAATGGAATGGTAAGGCATTTTACTTTTCTTTCTAAGAACGTCGAATGAATAATAAATAAAAAGTCTTTTTAAAGTATGATGTGTGCTTTTAGAAACTGAAAATGGATGAATTTGGCACTTCTCATTCTTTTAATTCAGGATGTTAAAAATGGAAACTCTATATTGAGGTTCAAATCTCATGTAGCTCAACTTATAAATTGTTGACAACAAAGTTTAAGAATATATTTACATGGCATTTGTAAAAAGCTACTGTCTTGCATAATGGTCCCAAAGGAGTTTATTATAGTTTTAGGAGATTCTCAATTGTTGGGATTCTGTCTCAGCATGGTACAGTGTTTCACTAAATATAGGTAGCTATATTTTTCTATTATATATACAAACCGTATTAAATTGATTTGTAGTTCTCATTGATTTAGAGGCTAAGGATAGCCTGACTTCAGGCTAAGTACTTTAAAAATAATTACCTTGAATAATATTCAGCCTTAAAAAGGAAGGAAATCCTGTCACATGATACAGCATGCATAAACCTTGAGGACACTACACTAAGTGAAATAAGCTAGTCACCAAAAGACAAATACTGTGTAATTCCACTTATATGAAGTATCTAAAGTAGTCAAGTTCATAGAAACATAAAGTAGAATTGTGGTTGCCAGAGGACAGGGTGTGTGGGGGAGGAAATGAGGAGCTGTTTGAGGAGTATAGAGTTTCAGTTTTATGAGATGAAAAAATTCTGGAGATCCATTGCACAACAATGTAAATGTGCATAACCTTAGACACCTGCACATTTTAAAATGGTAAATTTTATGTTATATGTTTTTTGTCACAATTAAAAATAAAAAAAATTACCTTAAGTTACATGAGTGCTTGTAAAATCTCTGATGTTTGATAAAGCATACTTTATTTTCACAGTTGTAATATAAAGGATTTGTTGACAACATGTTTTTTCCAGGGTAATGGAAAATTCTATTGAAGCCCAGTAAATAACAAGTATTTATTAATTGCCTACTATGAACAAGACATTGAGAGTTATGCATAACATTTCTATAGAAATGTAGATATGTATATATAGTTGTTGGCACAAGTCCCAAAAACATAAATTAAATGACAATTCAAGAGACAAAAACTGTCAAGAACATAATAGAAGTCACAGCACAGTATATGATTAATAGTTAAGTGAAGGTTACTAGATAAATCTTTAGCCTAATTTAACAGGTGTAATAACTAATATAAGTGATGTGCATATGTCCTACATATATGGGTAGGTAGCTGCAGAAATGTTTCCTAACATATTTGTAGTAGAAAAGAATTGATATTCATTACACATCATTAGGTTTCTGCACAACTCTTCTATATATGGTACTCAAATTTACCCTTATTAGCTCCCACCCCCACCTTTTTTTTTTTAATATATAAAGGTTAGGTCTCAAAAGTAATCAGGTAATTTCAAATTCATGCAAACAAACCTTGGAATATGTAAGTGCAAAGCATTCTACCAATTAGTGTCAGCTACCAATATACTAAAATAAAATGTTTTTTCTCTACCTTCTCTCTCACATTCCCCCTATTTATCATAATGCAACCTTTAACTTCTCTTTTCCTGCTCTTATCAAAACACACACACAACCCTGATTCTCCCAGTTCTCATAGTAGGGTCTGGGGTAACAATACAGCAGACAGGGGAAAGGCAAGGAAGGGAAGAAAAGGCTTCAGCCATCAAGGGATCCTTCCTCCCTTCCAGTGGATCTTTCCTCCCTTCCAATAAGAATCTCATAATCTAGTAGTCTTCAGCCTCCTTACAACTCTTCTCAGTCCCCTCCTCACTAGTACACTCCTCAGAGAATGTTATACTAGATGAAGCAAACAAATCTTAGGAAATGCTTGGAATGACCACACTAATTCCTAGGGATTAGCTAGAATATTTTCCTGTGCCTGAAATACACTCTTCCAGTAACATGTGTCCTAATTTTGTTTTTATTTTTGTAATCATATTTCTTATCTGTAATATTAGGGGATAGACAAATAGATGTCTAGACTTATTTTAATTTTCAAACTTTGAGATTCTAGAACTGAAAAATAAATCTTAAAAAAAAAAGGTTTTTTTATTTTTAGTAAAGGGCACTAGATGGCACAATTCCACCAATTTATGCTAATAAAATCACTCATCCTTTTATTCACATATAAAATAATTTAACTTTACAGTTACACTTAAATAATTTGACAGAAAACCTATATAACAAAGGTAAAAGTTCTTGAAAATATAATATTTCTAATATACCACATTTTATATCCTTATTCATTAACAGAATAACCAGAATCCCAACCCTGCATGAATAATTTGTTACCCAAAGTAAATAGGTATCTCTCTATAATAAAATGCAGCAAAAACTTACAGATATTGAACATTAATTTGTATCAAATGTACATTTTATAGTATTACTGATAATATAATAAAACTCTATCCAACAATAAAGTGAACTGGTGGTTCCATTGACTACAAATGCTTAAAATAAGGTACTAGAAAGACTAAACGCTCACAAGTCTGATTTATTTTTACTAACTGCTTGCCTTAGACCTTAGTTTCCTCAAGCCTAAAAATGAAAAAGTTGATCTAGAAACAATCAGAAATGATTAAGGTCTACTTGATTTAGCATTCAGTCGACCTCTTATTCCTTTAAAGTACCATATTTACCACAAAAGTCCCAGATCTGTCCAGTGTTTTTACTATCACTTCATTCCCTGGGATTATTTATAGTTCAGAAAACTTATCAGTCCTTAAGCTACATTTTGACATATAAGACACAGCACATCAGCCAAACAAACAGAATGTACACTGCACTTGGACCATCTTCCAACTGTGGCTTAGGCTCTTGGAGTAGTCCTACCTTGCCATTAGATGGCAAACACTCCTGCTAGGTGGTGCAATCAACAGCGGTAGAAAGAGGTTCTAAGAGAGAAATGCCCCTACTTAGATATTCTTGCCTGATGAAAAACTCTTCTCTTAGGAGGAAAGTCATCATCTTGGGCAAAAGTAACAGCTTCTAGAAGTTCACATGTAAAGAGGAAGTAGAGAAAATGACATCTACCTTGCTAAATACACTGTCGCAAGTTATTCTACATATTAATGGAGGGACATGGTATACAGCTAGATTTCTTTTACATTGCAACAAACTAGACAGAGCAGGGTGGTGGATGTGGAGGGGAGGGGGAATGAAAAGAAGTTACAATTCCTACAGAGGAACTCTTAAAGAAGTACCGGAGACTGTTGAAGGTTGTGTCTGTAAATGGTTTCTCAATGGTAATACTAAGTGGGCAGCGGTTTCTTACAGGAAGTTGTTCCCAGGTACCTAAGGCAGCTTATCTATAACAGCTGGACTAATATTCTCTCTATATCTGCCATAATCCTATTAAATGTTTTACAGAAAGACTTGTAAGAAACCCAAATTATAGCCATAATGCTGCTGTTATCTATAAGCTCAACAAGTTAATCAGCTCTCTCTCCCTCTTTTTTTTTTTTTTTTTTTTTTTTTGAGACGGAGTCTTGCTTTGTCGCCCAGGCTGGAGTGCAGTGGCATGACCTCTGCTCACTGCAACCTCCACCTCCCTGGTTCAAGCGATTCTCCTGCCTCAGCCTCCCGAGTAACTGGGACTACAGGCACCCGCCACCATGCCCGCCTAATTTTTTGTATTTTTAGTACGGGGTTTCATCGTTTTAGCCAGGATGGTCTCAATCTCCTGACCTCATGATCCGCCTGCCTCGGCCTCCCAAAGTGCTGAGATTACAGGCATGAGCCACCGTGCACGGCCAGCTCTCTCTTTTTAAGATAATTTACCATGATAGGATGGAGAGAATTTTTTGTTTTTGAATACTAAAACTGTACTTACACAGCCTCTTTTTTGTCTCTCCTAAAATAATTTTTAACCAGTATTCTAACCACCATGTATTAAACATCATGAAAAATAATGAGGAAAAGAGTACTATCCAGATGATAGTATTTGTAAAAATAAAATATCAATATATGGTATAGAGAATATATGAACCCATTCAACACTTTTAAGAGAAGCATTATAATGTGGTTATATAATGGACATTGCGGTTTATTCCCCAACATTTCCATTCCATCCCAGAAGACTATGTGAGCAAATTATGGTAATTCATTCCCTTTGTCATTGATTAGTTCAGAAAAGGACATAGGACCCAACTGTGGCTGTGGTAGGCATCACTCTAAAATGGCTCCCCAGAGATTTCCCATTCAAATTCCTAAAAACTACAGATATAATGAGATGGCACTCTCATGACTAAGTTATGTTATAAGGCACAGCTTACCTAAAAATAGGGAGATTATCCAGGTGGGCCACATCTAATTACATAAGCACTAAAAGCAGAGAGGTTCTTCAGCTGATGGCAGAATGGAAAGTCAGAGAGAGTTGAAGCATGAGAAGGATTCAAGGGAACCACCTGATGAGGGATGCAGAGAGCCACAAGGGGCTGAGAGGAATCCCCAACTGATAGCCCACGAGGAAACAAGGACAAAATCCTACAACCACAGAGAACAGGATTTTGTCAATGAACTTAGTGAGCTTGGAAGTAGATTCTTCCTCAAATCCTCCCAGCCCAGCCCATCCTCCACTTTGGATTGGGCATTGTAAGGCACTAAATAGAGAACCCAATTGTGCCCCCCAGGACTCTGACCTACAGAACTGCGAGATAATAAATAAGTGTGGTTTGGTGCTACAAAATGTGTGGTAATTTGTTATGACAGCAGTAGAAAGCTAACACAGTAGCCAAAGAGCTGTAAAATAGAGACTTCTAGGAGTTCTAGGGAAATTTTACTTATTTCTAAGTAAATATTTCTAGGTATTTATTTTACTTATTTCTAAGAAGGAGCCGCAGAACAAAATGTTGTCTCTTCTTTCTCTAGATATTGCATTGTCTAGACCTAATGGCTAGAGCTGACTTGTCGATGTAGAGGATTATGTTGACAGAATTTCTGAAAACTAGATCACCCTACAATCACAGAATAAACCTTATGTGGCAATAATGTATAGGACGTAGGCAGAATAGAAATTGGGCAACTTTAGATCCTCATGCCATTGAAGAGGTTAACCTTGGAGCTGCTAATATGTGAGATAATAAATTTCTTTATTGTCTACATGAGTTTGAGTCAGGGTTTCTATTACTTACAGACAAAATATTTTAACTGATGGGCTTGTTGACATAAAACTAGTCAAATTATATCTAGAAACACAGTTTTAGGTGAAAGAACACTGGGCATAGAAACAAGACACAAGATAACACCATGGTCTGGTGGTCTGGTTGCTTATTACCTGTATAACCGTGGGCAGGTTACCTAGTCTCACTGATCCTGTATTTCCTCAGGTAAAAAGCAGAAGTACTAATACCCAATTCACTGGGTTATTGTGAGAATTATCTATGATACAAAATATGAAGTTATGTAGCATAGCATCTGAAATACCATAATTATTCAATAAAGGGTCTTTGTCCTAAAATAATATGTAAAGCAAAAGAGAAAAATTTGTTCAGGAAGAAAAAAGTTAATCAAGAAAAATGACAAGTTTTTTTAAAAGGTTTTTTTCTTAAAGGTATGGTAAAGGATAAATGCATAGAATGTTAAATATGAAAGCCAAGTATTCTAATTTTATTGTTTTATTGTCTGGTATGATTTATTATTGAAGTATACAAAACTTTCAGAAAGAGACAATTTTAAAAGATTATATGTTTGCTATGTTACAAACCAAATACTAATGTTAAAGGAAAGATAAAAGATTGTCTTAAAGTCATAAATACGGTTTGCAACCAAAGCAATTAATGTAACCAACTTACATTGACTATTTTGTTCCATCATGTCATCTGATTGATTTAAATTTTAAAGTATTCACTAGTTTTTATGAGATTAAAAGAGATATCTCAAATTAAAAATAACCAGTTATGAAGCACCTGTATGGTTTAAGAACTGAGTCACCAGATGTCTATATTAGTTTGCTAGGGTTGCTGTAACAAAGTAACCACAACCTGGGCAGCTTAAGCAACAGAATTTATTGTTTCACAGTTCTGGAGGATAGAAGTCCAAAATTAAGATATCAGCAGGACTGGTTCCTTCTGAGGGCTGTGAGGGAATAATTTCCAGGCCTCTGTCCTTGACTGGCAGATGATCCTCTTTTCCCTATGGTTCTTCACATCATCTTCCCTCTATGCACACCCATGTCTAAATTTCCTCTTCTTATAAGTACCCCAATCATATTGGATTAGGGACCACTCTGAATGCCTTATTTTAACTTCAGTACCTCTGTAAAACCCCTCTCTAAGTAAGGTCACATTGTGAGGTACCGGGAGTTAGGACTTCAACATATAAATTTGGGAGGACACAATTCAACACATAAACACTATCTGAAACACATTCTCTGCCCTCAAGGAGCTTTCAGCCTAATGTGTGATATATACATTTATTCTCTATCTTCTATTTATTCAACTTTGAATTTAAAGAAAAAACACTAAGTTGCTTTTGTAATGATGATAATATGAAGTATTCAAATTGCATGAATTGTAGTTTCAGTTGTGTTTCGTATAATACCAAGTTGGTACTTTCTAAAAATAATTATCTTAAATATATGTCTCAATATTTGCTTGAATTCAATTATTGTTTCCTTCATATTGGGGAATTGATTTAAATCTGATATATCCAGCTGTAGTTATATATTTATTTAATTTCTCACACATGTATCTAATTTTCTTCCCTTTTAAATCTGCATATCTAATTAAATTGAACAAATTCAATAAAGATTATAAGGAAGATATCTCTGTAATGACATGAAAAAATTCTACCTAATACCAATTTATATGGTTACAAAATTTAAAGTTTGGTCAACAAAAGTGAATTTTTATTTTCATAGTATGAAATGCCAAAACATTGCCAATACTCAGGAATTTGTATCTAGTTAGTTAAATAAGTATAAATACAGGAAAGGTCAGGGTTGAGATATAGACTTGTAAGTCAGCTCACAAGATATATTAAAAACCATGTTAGCAGGAGCTGAGTGCAGTGGCTTATGCCTGTAAGCCCAGCACTTTGGGAGGCCGAGACAGGAGGATCATTTGAGCTCAGGAGTTCAAGACCAGCCTGGGCAATATAGCAAGATCCTGTCTCTACAAAAAATAAAAAACGTTAGCCAGCCATGGTGGCACATGGCTGTAGTCACTGCTACTCAGGATGCTGAGGTGGGAGGGTCACTTGAGTCCAGGAGTTCGATACTGCAGTGAGCTGTGGCTGCCCTCCTGCACTCCAGGGTGGGCCACAGAGCGAGACTCTGTCTCAAAAAAATAAAAATAAAAACCATGTTTGGAGACCGATTTGAGTAATAATAAAACTCCAGTCTCCCACACAGCCAGCTCTGTGTAAATTACTCTTTCTTTATTGCAATTCCCCTATCTTGATAAATCAGCTGTCTAGGCAGCAGGCAAGGTGAACCCATTGGGTAGTTGCAAATTTGGTGACTTGTCTAGGATTGCCCTTGTGGCTACCTGCCCATGGTTCAGTAGCCTCCCTCCAGTGATGGATCCAGAGGCCAGCTCAAGTGATTGAGACATGTATTTAAGATCATTATTTTTAGAAAGTACCAACTTAGACACACCTGAAACTGCCAGACACACCTGACACTACCTGAAACTACAGACACACCTGAAACTATAATTAGTGCAATGTATTACAATTACTACAATTAGTGCAATGTATTACACTACACTACAATTACACTAAAACTACAATTAGTGCAATGTATTACAATTACTACAATTAGTGCAATGTAGTTTCAGACACACCTGAAACTACAATTAGTGCAGCCATACCAGACACACCTGAAACTACAATTAGTGCAATGTGAATACTTCATATTATCATCATTACGAAAGCAACTGAGTGTTTTTTCTTTAAATTCAAAGTTGAATGAATAGAAGATAGAGAATAAATGTATATATCACATACTAGGCTGAAAGCTCCTTGAGGAGCTTTCCAGAGAATGTTTCAGATAGTGTTATGTGTTGAATTGTGTCCTCCCAAATTTATATGTTGAAGTCCTAACTCCCAGTACCTCACAATGTGACCTTAATTAGAGAGGGGTTTTACAGAGGTACTGAAGTTAAAATAAGGCATTCAGTGTGGTCCCTAATCCAATATGACTGGGGTATTTATAAGAAGAGGAAATTTAGACACGGGTGTACATAGAGGGAAGATGATGTGAAGAGCCACAGGGAAAAAAGGATCATCTGCCAGTCAAGGACAGAGGCCCGGAACTTATTCCCTCACAGCCCTCAGAAGGAACCAACCCTGTTGACACCTTGATTTTAAACTTCTATCCTTCAGAACTGTGAAACAATAAATTCTGTTGCTTAAGCTGCCTGGATTGTATTTACTTGTTACAGCAACCCTAGCAAACTAATACAGATAGCTGGCAACTCAGTTCTTGAAGCATGCAGGTGCTTCATAACTGGTTATTTTTAAGGTGTGATACCTCTTTAGTCTCAGAACAACTAGTGCATTCCTTAAGTGGCCTAGTTCTCTTGGACTAAGGTTGACTCTGGTACTGTCTCTTCTGGCAGGGTGCTGCTGACCCAGTGTGCATGGACTTCATTGATATAGAGAAATAGTCCTGGGAGACATCCCATAATTGTACCCCATGGTGGGGTGTCTTTGTCTGTAGCCCCACAATGGAGTATATGTAACTGTAGTCCTATCACAGGGTACCTGTCTATAGCCCTGTCACGGAGTGTTTATAGCTGTAGCCCCATTATGGGGTGTCTGGTTTGGTGAGTATTTTAGGTGCTGCCAATGCCTCCTTCCTCCTCCCAGTTGGTTTGGCTCCCTCAGAGGTCTTGGTTTTTCTGTAGCCCTATGGTGAGATGTCTGTCTATGGCCCCATTCAGGGGTGTCTGTCTCACTTTGGCCCCTTCGGATGTCTCAGTTTTTCTGCTCCCCCATGGTAGAGTGTCTGTCTCGGTTTGGCTCCTTCAGGAGTCTTGGTTGGCTCTCTCTAATTAGTAGTAAGAGTCTTGGGAAAGCTCTCAGTCAGGAAGATTTCAGGGAGAGTTCTCAAATGGAGAATAGGAGGATAGTTTGGAAGGGATACTCTTGGAATTCTTGGATAAGGACCTTGATTTGGAAGTCCTTCTGTCTATTTTGTCTTTGTGTGTGTTTGTATACGTGGAGGGGATTTCAAAAGAAATTACTGACAGAACTCCACCAGGCCTAACTCAGAGAACCCTCCTTACTTGTCTAGTCACATTTGGTGAGCCCTGAAGAAAGTTCAACAGGCCTGAGTTGGGGCAAGTATCTGCTCTTCATCTTGCCCAGAGGCCACCTATTGAATTACCAGTCAGAGATCATCCCTCCCCACCTGGAGTGGATCAAAGACAACAGGGACCAACAGGAGAAAGTATGAGCCTTGCCAAGTCCATATTGGGTGCTGAACAAGGTGACTAGTGTCCATTTTGTTATGTGCATTTTGCTTTGACTGGGATGGAAAATGCTAATTCAATGCCCCATGCAGCCCATTGGGCAGCATCTTGCAAAATTGAGAATCTTTTGCCTATGGTTTCATGAAACAGAAAAGGGTAATTTCATTTTGTAAGGTGGCTTGAGCACAGCAAGCAGGGCCATCAAAAGCTTGCTCCATTCTTCTGGAAACTGCAGAGAAAGGAAACCCAGAAACCTGGTGTGCCAGCAAAAAGGGTAAGAAATTCTTACCAGCCACGTTTCTACTCTCTCTCTCTTTCTCTCTCTCTCTCTCGTGTGTGTCTCTGTGTGTGTGTGTGTGTGTGTGTGTGTAATGATAAACATCATTATTTGTCTCCTCTGCAAGAGTTTGATTAATAGAAATAAAAGGATTTGTGAGACTAGTCTTAGGCTGCAGCAAATCTGGTTTACTTTGTGCTAAGAATGTGTCTGTAATGGAGACAGGGGTATCACAGGATAGAACATGTGCTTAGGACCTCTATAAGCCTGCTTTCCATCCAGCCCAGAAAGGTGATCGGTTACAATTTTTTCTCCAGGTCCCTGAAACTAATACCGAATGAAATTTCTCTGTCTAGTTTTGTGTTTTTAAGAGCTTAACATTGTGACCATATGAGGATACTTTCTCTTGGTTTCTGCCATCCAGAGGACAAGAATTTGGGGGTTCATGTCATAGTTAGCCCTAAAAATTGTCTTGAGCAGTTAAGAGCCTTTGCAAGATTGAAATTGGCCACTCTAGACTTCTTCTGGGAAGAGCAATAGAAACTGCTCCATGCTGTGTAGCTCAGTAGCTAAGCCTTTGTCTTTTGACAATGGTGGCCTGGGTTCAATTCTTGGCTACTGGAATGAATCCTTTCTGGCTTGTTATTTGTGTAACTTTGCCATTTGTTGAGGGTTTTTCCCCCTTGGATAGCTTCTGATTTTCGGTCTTGGATTTTCCTTTCTCTAAACTACCCTTGGGGAGATTCTAAATCTTGTAGAAAAAAAGAAACTGCTTACCATCTCTCTGAGACACTTTATGCGTGCATGGTTAAGTTATAACCTTAGTTACAACTTATTAATTTCATGTGGGAAGTTACCTGTGGTAGAATTCAAAAGCCAGAAATATTGGCTGCCCTGGTTAGAGTCGGTAATAAGAGACTTAAAATAATTTTTTTTTTAGAAACAAAGCTCTATAGTAAATATCAGCTTAATTAAAAACAAATATCCAAGCTGTATCTATTTAAGAGGACTTTATCTTTCTTTTCTTCTTGAATCGTGTTTTTCCGAAAAAAAGTTTTTTCTACTCAGAAGACTAAATTGTTCTTCTCCATTTTGTCTTCTTGCCACTCTTGATACCCACATCAGAGAAACTAAGATAAATTCTAACAGCCTGGGACTCCTGGGGAAAAGCAGAGGAGGCACCACAGACCCCATTCTGGGAAAAACCTCTGTTTTCCACACAGAAGCCCAGAAATTGAATGAGAATAGATCCCTCTCAAAATCGAAGGCTCTGTTCTGTTTTGCATTGTTTTAACTGATGCTTTTGACTTTTGTGGGTATCAGAAATTACTTCACATTATAAGGGAAACTTGGTGTGTACTAACTAGGCAGGAAATATACTTTTGGGGATGGCTAATGGCATTTATGGGGGGATACACAGCTCTTTGATGTTTCAATTAGAGAAGCATGCTCTTAGCCACCTAAAATATATGGAAACATCCCCAATCCCCACTGAAAGAGACTCCAATGGAGGATGAGCTGATTACAAAATGGACTGTTTAGCTTTGGGTTGCCTTGCAATGAAATGCATGGTAGAAGCACTGCACTATTTTCTCCCATAGTATTTCCCTCCTTTTGGGGTATCCAGGATCCAGTATAAAATGGCACCCTTAATTTTGGGGATCTGTCTTTGCCTTCCAGCTGTGCCTGCTTATTGGGCTCTAGAAACTACATACTTTCCTGACCCTGTTCCTCCAAGGGCTCTACCCTGAAGCCAGTAATCCAATTAAGATACTACTAAATGGGCTAGGTGTGGTGACTCATGACTGTAATCCCAGCACTTTCGGAGGCTGAGGTGGGTGGATCACCTGAGGTCAGGAGCTCGAGACCCCCCAGCCTGACCAACATGGAGAAACCCCGTCTCTACTAAAAATACAAAATTAGCCAGATGTGGTGGTGCATGCCTGTAATCCCTGCTACTCGGGAGGCTGAGGCAGGAGAATCGCTTGAACCTGGGAGGCGGAGGTTGCGGCGAGGCAATATTGTGCCATTGCACTCCAGCCTGGGCAACAAGAGCAAAACTCAGTCTCAAAAAAAAAAAAAAATGAAAAGAAACAGAAACAGGTAAATGAAAAATCTTACAAGTGCTGAATCTTCTCTCTTTCTGTCTATGTATTAATATGTGTTATGTGTGTGGTGTTTATATAAAAAGAGCTCTGATTAATTGGCTTAGAAAAATAAGCACTTAAGTCAAATATTTTGTCAGAAAAATAGAAACTTTAATGCCTTTTTGTTCATGTGACTTTAGTAATCTTTTGGAAATAAAGACAGTTTTAAAGATTATTGACAAAATGAAAATGTCTTCCAAATGTAGACATTTGGTCTAAATTAAGGTCAGATATCAGATTTGCTAAATGCTTTAAGGTCATAAACTGCTTCTTTGACTTTTGAAAATTGTTCCATTTACCTCCTTTAGAGCATTAGATTCTAGATGAGGCCTGAGGACATGTGGAGTTAACCATGCCCCCTGGCTATGCTGGAAAGAGACAAACCTTATCTTCATTTCTGTCTGACATCCTAGGCTCCACACCTAGTACATAATTAAAGTAGCTTACTTATCAGGTTTTCCCCAAAAATAAAAGTTGTTAAAAGTTAACATTGTAACATGCAATTGAGACTACTAAAGAGACAGTTTTACATACAAGGTGCATAAGGAAAGTAGAATGTGTTTTTGGTAAAAGCTTATAAGAAGGCATGGGAATGTGGCTTTTGTTAAAATGTAATTTTGTCTAGTTCAGAGGGTTTTAAAGATTGTCTTAACCTAAAAGAGTAATGGGACAAAACTGAAGGTTTAAGCAAGGTGAAAAGGGTTTGTGAAGGATTGGTCTTGGAAAGAAAGTTTGGTGGATATGAGCAATTTGGCTAAGATTTTAAGGGGATAATTTAATTTTTTTCCATTGGTTGAACATTAAAGTACAAGCACATTAATGCAGGGCCAGAACCTGGGCCCATGTGTCTGAATAACAGGGTTTTCTTAGAAAATTGTTCTACTGTTTAACAGAAAAATTGTAAAGGGTTCCAAAAACTTTATGAAAATCTTACCTTATGGTCAAACTAAGTTTAGTTTAGTTTTGTTTTGTTTTGTTTTGTTTTGTTTTGTTTTTGAGACAGAGTCTCACTCTGTCACCAGGCTGGAGTGCAGTGGCGTGATCTCGGCTCACTACTGCCTCTGCCTCCTGGGTTCAAGCAATTTTCCTGCCTCAGCCTCCTGAGTAACTGGGATTACAGCCATGCACCACCATGCCCGGCTAATTTTGTATCTTTAGTAGAGACGGGGTTTCTCCATGTTGGTCAGGCTGGTCTGGAACTTCCGACCTCAGGTGATCCACCCACCTTGGCTTCCCAAAGTGCTGGGATTACAGGCATGAGCCACTGTGCCCAGCAGTCAAACTAATTAAAACTGGATAGGGTTACAAAGTTTTATTTAGAAACTCGTTTTAGCATTAAAGATGCATTAAAGCAAACAAAAAATCTGGTTTTTTCTTTCAAAAAAGATTTTTATGTAATATTAAAAGAAAATGAAAGGTTTTTGTTTGCCCCTTTGGGTAAATGGCAGAGGAAAAAAGGGGAGGAGAGAGAAGAGACACATTCAGTTGGCCTCATTCTGTCTTCACTGGGTCTTGTTTGGAAAACTAAGTCTCTTCTATCAGAGTAAAGGTTTTTGCCTTTTAAAAAAATTTTTTTGAGTTACCACTTTGGATAAATGAATAACCTGTTATTCTATTTTGTGATATTCAGTGTTTTAAACCTTTGATAGTTGACAGATTTTCTAAAATCAAATTATATAGTATGTCATTTTCTGACCTAATTAATCCTTTAGACATTAGGTCCCCAGAAGTTCAAAAATGATATGTTTGGCTTATTTGGTATAAAAATTATACAGGAAGCATTGTCAAATATGAAATGGTGCTTGGCTTTCTTTGGGCTGTATTTGTATAAATATGTTATTAGAACGTGTTCCAAAATTATGGGAAACTTCAATAATTTTGATATGATTTAGTGTACGTTATTAACAGCTATAGTTATGTAAATTTGTTGTATGTCACAAAAGCAACCAAAATTCCTAGTCAATTGTAGCTTTAATAGTGGCTGTCCTAAAACTTTTGTCATCCACAGACATTTTGTCTTGCTTTGGTCCTTTTCAAAAGGTGGTTTATAATCAGATATAGGACTCTAAGTGCAGATCTCTGATAACTTTAAAAATTGTGCTATTGGAATAGAGGAAATAAATGGAATTTCTAGGACTCTCATGGAGAGCTGATGTGTTAAACATTGCTAATCCTCTTGTTTTCAGACTCAAGAGAACTTATTTCTTTTGACCTATTTGCAACTTTTAACAAGTGAGTAAAGTGTACTCCTGGGAACAACATTTGGAGCATATTGCTTTCCCTCTGTGATTTCTTCAGGATTTAGAAACTTTCTGTGAGTATTCTCAACTTATGGCAGTATGATTATTTGCATAAGTGCAATAAGAATCTGTCTTCTTTACTAACAGGACACAATTGGAGAAACTGGTTATTTTAGCAAGGCTTTCACTAAAATGTCATTCATTCTTTAAGGAATCAAAGTGGACTTATAGAGCCAATAAAAGCCCCTCAGGAAAACTGGCCTCATGCCTTGTCTACACAGTCCCTGTACAGGGTTCCTGACCTGTGATAAGTGAGGAATGTCACTTTCTGATAGGCCCAGAAGTCCCAGGTTATCTTGGGACCTTAAAGTGAGGAGTTCACAGGCATTTGCAGGCATAGATAAATCTGTAGCTGGGCTTCAAGGCTTTTAGAAAGTACTTTTTTTTTTTTTTTGGTCAGGCATGGTGGCTCATGCATGTAATCCCAGCACTTTGCGAGGCCAAGGTGGGCGAACACCTGAGGTCAGGAGTTCGAGACCAGCCTGACCAATATGGTGAAACCCCGTCTCTACTAAAAAAAAAATACAAAAATTAGCCAGGCTTGGTGGCGGCGCACCTGTAATCCCAGCTACTCAGGAGGCTGAGACAGGAGAATTGCTTGAAACTGAGAGGCAGAGGTTACAGTGAGCCGAGATCATGCCACTGCACTCCAGCCTGGGTGACAAAGCGAGACTCCGTCTCAAAAAAAAAAAGTACAACCTCAGATTCCTTATAGAACAAAGTTTCAGCAAAGCCAATATTAAAGAGCCTATGTGAAAAATAATTATTCTTGCTGTACTTTATACAAATAATCAGGCCAAGTATAAGACTGAAGTTTAGTTTGCAAATGAATCAATCCTATCATGACTTGCTTTTAATAAAAATGGGGACTGGAGAGAGAAAAATTGTGCTTAAAAAAGACTATAATATACATTCTTAGCTGTTCTTGGGTTGTTTTTTGTTTGTTTGTTTGTTTTTTCCCTGCAGTTTGGAATAAATCCTAAATTCTTTGTGGACTACAAGTCCCCAAACTAATGTTTTCAAATCTTTACTTTAAAACTGGGAATTGCCCTCTTTACCCTCATGCCCATTGTTTATCTTATAGTATGCTTTTCCTTTAAATGTGGTGCTAAAACTATAGGTGACAATACTAACGTTTTTGCCATGCAAGCCTTGGAACCACAGCCAGGCCTAAGTGAGTATGCTCAGACAGTGGCAAAGACATTCCACTCCTCTTACCTTGGGGTCAACGCCTACCACCACTATGCCCCTGATCAGCAGGAAGAAGTTAGGGTGGTCTCTGCCTGTTTCTCATCTTGTTTAGCCAACATCTTGAGATTAAAGTGTTATAAAACCCACAGGGAGGGATTGAAACGGCCATTGCAAAATTATAACTTAGCGAATGAGATCTAACCTAACCAACTCCATCTTGCTTCTAATCTCCAAGCTGTCCTTGTTCATTCCTGGGCATAGGCGGAACTAACTTTGGGAGGAACTTAGTTTATAGTTTAAAACAAAGATGGTAACAGCCCTTTCCCAAAACAAACCCCCTTCTTGCCTGGGGATTAGACTACCTTTGTAGAACTAACAAATTTAGCCACAAGATTAGAAGTTATTGTTTAGGAGTCACACAACTGGAGGATACAAGACTCTGACCCTCCCTAAACTGCTCCTAAGATCAGTGCTTGAGGTATTTTGCAGACCCTGCACTTGATGGATCAGCTGGCACCACCCAGATTGATAAACTGGCTCATGTGATCTTGTGGCCCCCAACCAGGAACTGACTCCGTGCAAGAGGACAGCTTCGACTTCCTGTTATTTCATTTCTGACCTGACCAATCAGCACTCCCGGTTCACTAGCTTCCTGTCACACACCAAGTTGTCCTTAAAAACTCCTGTCCTCGAACGCTCAGGGAGACGGATTTGAGTAATAATAAAACTCAAATCCGTAATAATACCGTCTCCCCCCAAAAAAGTAAATAAATAAATAAAAAACATGTTAGTGGTCATCCAACATGAGGAGAAAAAGAGAGAAAAGCAGTGCCTGAAGACAGAAACAAATCATGATTAATGATTTGGCAGCAAAAGAGGAGGAGCCTATCAAGGAAAATAATAAAATTGTCCAGGGCTTATAGGCATATGTGGTTAGAATTAGAATAAATAATGTCAGGGAAGCCAAGAGCAGAAAGGATAGAGTTCTGAAAAGTGTTTGTTCAACAATCAGAAATAAAGAGAGATTTGGTAAGATAAAGATTGACAAGACTCCAGTGAATTTGGCAATTTTAATACATTATTTCAGTAAAGATCGTTTCAGTCTTTAGGTGGGGAAAAGGCAAAAGGCAAATGGCAGTGGGTTGAGCAGTAGGAGGGACACTTCATTTTCTAAGACAGGAGAAAAGAAAGTAAAGATGAGTGCAGATGTTTATCACAATGGAAATATGCAAATGCAGGCACATGGAAATAATACAACAGCAGGATACCTAAGCTCAAGTGAAATAATTACAAGGAAGAACAATGCTTAAGAGATTTCCCAAACATCATCTTACACAATTGGACTAGCCATTGATGTCTAGGAAATGTCTGGTATACCAACTTCAAATGCAGCTATAAGTAAAACATTAATTTACTTTCTACTGTCATTAGTACAAAGTGCTGCAGTGATGGTCTCACAAGAATTTGAATATTGGGTAAATAAGATTGTCCTTAAAGAGGTAAACTATGTGTTTACATATAGTCAATTTATAGGTCAAGTCACTCGAAAGACAGACTTCTTGCCAAGACAAGTAAGCAACAGTTGACTATTCCTTATTAACTATATTAATATAGCTGATGAATGAATGTATCCAGAAAAAGGAAAGGGAGATATTGATTGGCTACGGAAGTAGATTAAAAGAGGAATCACCCAGGTAAGCCCATCTAAGCACTGGGTGTGTACATTTGTCTTGCTGGCAAGGCTATTCCTGTTGAGAGAACTATGTAAGTCAGGTTTCTCCAGAAACAAAAGCAATAGGTGTGTGTGTGTGTGTGTGTGTGTGTGTGTGTGTGTGTGTGTGTGTGTGTGTGTGTGTGTCTGTCTGTGTCAAGAAAGAGAAAGATTTATTGTGAGGCATTGGCCTACACAGTTGTGGGGGTTATAACTTCCAAAATCTTCAGGGTAGGCAAGCAGGCTAGAGACTCAGGGAAGACTGGCAAGGAAGAATTGGAGTCCAAAGGGCGTCTGCTGCCAGAATTCTCTCTTCTATGAGGTACCTCTGTCTTTTTCTCTTAAAGCCTGCAACTGATTGGAGTAGACTACCACCGATGTCCCCTTAAAGCCCAAGGGTTACCTTCGGTTAACTTATGATGAATGCTACCTGGCCTGAGACTCACCCTCCAGGTCAGTGGGCTCCCCTCTGGCCCAGGGAAGGTCCAGAAATGCTGTCCAGCAGCCTAGGCCTAGATGCGGGGACCCCAAAAGCCTGCTTTTTACTCTACTCCTTTGTGGTTGAGCTGGTATCTAGGGTGCAAGACAAAGTCCACTTTACTTTTCCTTCTGCTTTTCTCAAACAGAATGAGTCTTTCACTGCAGCCACCACAGCTGGGAATGTGCTGGGTCACCACTAAAGTCAGCATGTCTCACAGCCCAACACACATGGCATACTCCCTAGTTATCACCGCTGGTTATTCAGGGTGCAAGGGCTCTTTAGTCAGCGGGAGATGAATGCCGCCAGGACTGGGTCTTTCTTTTCAAGGCCTAAGGTTCCCTTCTGGCCCAGGATCTCATCTAGCAACGTCATCCAGGAGCTAGGGCTTAGAAAGGGGGCCTCACAACTCTGCTCAGTGCCCTATTTTGCTATGACTGAGCTGATGTCCAACATGCAAGACAAAGTCCTCTTTACTTTTCTTTCTCCTCTCCTCAAGCAGAAGAAAGGACTTACTTTCTTTGCTGAGAACTGTGCTACCTGGGGTTGGGGGAGGAGAGATGCAAGCACTCCGTTAGTCACCCTGGCTGGTGTCCCAGTAGGTTGTATGCCCTCCAGGTCTGCCAGCTCCAAGCCCAGCTCAGCACTATGATCTGCTTAGGAACTGCAGTCCCAATGACCCAGACTGCCCTTCACGTTTATTTAAAGTCCCAGAGCACTTTTGCCAACAGTGGCAGGGCTTGCTGGAACTCAGGTTCTGACTGCTGGGATGGGCAATTCCCCTCTGGCTAGGGCTGGTCTAAATGTCCCCTCTGTAGGTAGGCTTCAGCTGAGTTCAGCCCAGTTTTGCCTTCTACTGTAACAGGGCAACACTGAATTCAATGTGCTCTCCCTCCCTCAAGAGCACAGATTCTCTCTCCTTGCCATGAAGCTACTGCCAGGGGACTGGGGAGGGGTGATATCAGTGATTCGAGACTGTTTTTCCTACCCCCTTCAGTACCTCTTTCAGCGATATGAAGGTAAAACTAGGTATTGGTTACTCACCTGATTTTTGTTTTTTATGAAAGTGTTTTTTTGTGTCAATAGTTGTCAAAGTTGGTGTTCCTGTTGGGAAAATGATCAGTAGAGGATTCTATTCAGCCATTTTGCTTCATCCCTCCCTCTAGATTTGTTTGAGCTGTCCTCATGGTTTCATTAAGGTTATGTATTTTTGGCAGAAATACTATATAAGTTTCATGTTGTTCTTAGCAGTATTTCTCATCAGGAGGCACTTGATGACTATTTGTCACTGTGATATTATAAAGTATATGCTTTATTTGATCTCCAACCCATACAACTAAAATCCTTAGAATCCCCAAAGTCTTTTTGTATGCTAATAATTGACTGATGGTTGGCAGCTTCTAGGTAGCTTCAGGATGGGGGCTAGTCACTGCAAAAACTAAGGCAGGATTAGGAGGTTGAGACTTTCACCTCTGAGGAGGGTAGAGGAAAGTTAAGTTGATCATTAATGGCTAATGATTTAACCAATAGTGCCTATATTATGAAGCTCCCATAAAAACCCAAAAGGACGGGGTTCAGAGAGCTTTCAGGTAGCCAAAACCATAGAGGCTCCTGGAGGATGGCTCACCTGGGGAGGGCATCCACATCCCCTTCCCATGCCTCAGCACATGCATCTCTTCATCTATATCCTTTGTAATATCGTTTATAGTGTACTGGTAAATGTAAATGTTTCCCTGAGTTATGTGAGCTGCTCTAGCAAATTAACCAAATCTGAGGAGGCGGTCATGAGACCCCAATTTATAACCAATTGTCAGAAGCACAGGTAAAACAACCTAGGACTTGAGACTGACATCTGAAGTGGGGAGTGGGAGGCAGTCTTGGAGACTGAGCCCTCAATCATGGGATCTCCAGGAAGATACTGTCAGAAATGAATTGAATTGAATTAGAGGATATCCAGCTGGTGTCCGCTACAGAACTCCTTGGTGTGGCAGGGAGAGGGGGAACCCACACATCTGGTCACAGAAATATTCTGTGTTGTTGTAGTGTGAAAGCAGAGGAAAACCGTTTGAGTTTTCTCCACTCAGTCCCATTATTGGTGATGTTAACTTTGATCACTCAATTAAGGTGCTGTCTGCCAGGTTGCTCCCCTATAAAGTTACTAGTTTTCCTTTTATAATTAATTGGTAATTTGTGACTGGATAAGTTGAGACCATGTAAGTTTCCTGTTGTGTATGGGATAGTTTAGCATCCAATTGATTACCTGAATCAGTTGTCACCTAATAATAGACTTTTTACTTTCCATTGCAGAGAAATAATTAAAAGAGGCAATAGTCAGAGACTCCTTGAATTCATGGTATTTCATCTGTCTCTGATAGACAGCTGAGCTGAGAACTCTAGGAACCATTCCCTGCAGACCAAAAATGAGAATTATGCTGGAGATTTTAAAGGAAGCAAACATTTCAAATTTGGAAGAACCTGCTGCTACTATGGGCTATTTGGCCATTAGTGAGAAGAGGTTCACACACTAGTTTAAATCAATTGTTCAAATAGCTGAACTCTACCTGAAAAAAAAACTCACATACGCCTCTGGCTAAAGAATATTCCTGAGGCAAATCAAAAAGAACAGAAGACATACTAAGATCAAGTATTAGCTTAAGATGCTCTGACCCTTAACATCTATCAAAAAAGAAAAACAAGGTGACCACAGATCTAGGGCCAGTATGATTCTGACCTAGATTGAGGAGCGGCCCATCTGTGGTTTGTGCTCAGAGAGAAAAAGGGGATGTCTGCAAGGGACTAAAGATTCTATTGGTTCTAGCAGCAGTGGGACCCAAAATTCATCTCAGGCTGCAAGAATCTACTTTTGCAAATAGTGTTGGATGTTCTTCACCTTTTCCCTCCATGAGATGGGCAGCAAATTGCCTACTTACAGGGCTCCTTCAAGTCATACCCACTGTGTTAGGCACAGCATGGTGCTGGAAAACAAAAAACAGATAACACAAATAAGAAGACTGTAAGAAATTTTAGGGATAATTAGTACTTGTCGTTTTCAAGAATTTTTGTAATTTCTTAAATTCCCCTTTGCTTATTATAAGGTTTAAATTGTTTTGGTTTTGGTCTGCAGTTAATTAAGCATTCCTATGAGTTGGAGGCAGTACTGAACAAAAAGGTAAAGATATTTCAGGTATAGATTATAGACTTTAATGAAAGGGCAGCCTCACATGTGCTCAGGAAAGCTGAAGTAAGCATGGATTTGTTTATTTATTTATTTCTTTATATCTTTAACAGGGTTTTGTTCTGTGGCCCAAGCTGGAGTGCAGTGTTCTGATCATGGCTCGCTGCAGCCTCAACTTCCTGGGCTCAAGTGATCCTCCCACCTCACCACCCAAGTAGCTGGGACTACAGGCATGTGTGCCACCAGGCCCAGGTAATTTTTTTTATTTTTTGTAAAGATGGGGTCTCACTATGTTGCCCAAGCTGGTCTTGAACTCCTCAAGCAATCCACCTTAGCCTCTCAAAGTGCTGGGATTACAGGCATGAGTCACTGTGCCTGGCCCAAGTATGGATTTTTTTGCATTGATCTTTTGGAGCACACCTGTAAAATCAATTCAAAATTCAGTGTAAATGATTATCATATTTAAAAACAACTTGTGGAATAAGAGAGAATTACATCCACTGTGTGCTTAATGTATAATCTGGCCCTATCTAATCCTTAGAAGAATCATGTAATTTTTTATTTATGGAAGAGAAAACTAAAGTTCAAAAAAATGCTATGAACATGTGATGTGTCAGTTACAGGGCTACTGTAAAAGCCCAGATCTGATTTCAGAATCCTTTTCACAGTGCTATAGTGCTTACATGTTACTTTCATACTAAGAAGTATTTGAGAGTAACAAAAGAAAAGAAAATGAGAAAAAGATGATTTGTAAGGTAATTAAGAGATGCTAGTTGTACATCATTCGAATTTGAGTTTGGGTTATAAAAATCTTTGGTCCATGGAAAAAATTGTAAGTCCTTTGTTGCTATTATCTTTGCTTACTGTACAATAAATAAACACCAGGAAGAAAAATATTTCCATAGAGTTTGCTTATGAATTGCTCTTCTAGTCTTATTTTAAAAATTATTTTTCTGAGCCTTTGAACTGATTGAATTCTGGAGGAATTTATTCTATTCCTTAGAATTAAATCTTCAGATTCTTACAACACAAGTCCTTTGGTCTATGCTGAGTCAGTAAATTCTGTCTCCCAGGCAACTTTGTGTAAATCAAAGCTGAAGGTCAGACCAAAATTAATGCATTACATTAAAGTAAAATAGGATTGCTTTGTATTTCAATTTGTTCTATTTGGTTTTCAGTGTTTAAACGCCCCTATTGCCATTGTTGGTTATTCTCAATAGTTTGACTCTGTTGTTATTCAAAATCTAAAGAATTTTATGAAAGAAAAATTAAATTTTAAAAAGTTAAATAGTAGTTAAGCAAAATAATCAATCAAGTAATAAACCTGCATCTTCATAAGTAATGAGTGATTAAAATCTAAATAATGAGAAAATATTGCTCACTTATCAAGTGAGTAGATTTAGAAAATAGTATCTAGGACTGGTCATCAGGTGCAGAGAAATATTTCCTGTTTTGGCTCCACATTCCTATAATCCTACACACCCCTAGTTCAGGCCCTCATTATCCCCTGCCTGGACAATCTCAGCAACACACTTCTAACTTGTCTGCCTGATTACAGTATTGTATTTTTTAAATCCCATCTTCACACTGCAGCCTGAGATATACAGTATACCTGAAATATAATTCTAGCCATTTTACTGCTTCTGTTTCTCAGTCTCTCAGTTTCCAGGGTGGAATAGTTAATAATGTATCTGTAAAGAAATAGCTAAATGCATGGTTGCAGTTCAATTTTGCCATGGTTAGTACAGACAATACAAATCTCACTAAGTCCAAGATTTGTCGCTCTGACAGCCACAGGAAGCCAAATTAGAATTACAATGTTGCTTAATAAGCATGGAATTAGAATAGGAACATTAGTTATAGAATTCAAATGGCTAATGGAATCAGGTTAAAGAAGCTTGGCGCTCTCACCTCACCAGGACACTTTCATCAGCCTGATCATTCTCTGCCCTGACAATGCTTGAGTGGGTATTAGCAACTTTTCATTTTGGGTTTCCATTTTCTCTACTCCAGATAGAATTTACCTTTTTGTTTATACAGTCTCTCCAAATAAGGCATAATACCACTGCTTAGGGTTTTACTTATTAAATGTTAATCATATTCTAGACCTGCCTCTTGAGACTGCGGCCAGGTTATTTTGATTGGAGTTTTGGAGTATTCTCAAATTCTTTAGCTCTGCAATTCTACAAAGTCTCCAAGTCGATTCCTACAAGGTCACAAATTTATGCAAATAGTGCTTTGCATAGAGTAGGTACTCAACTATTGCTTAGGTATGGGGATAACCTAACGGGATAACTATTGCTTAGGTCTGGGGATGACTTAGACGACACTGTTCCCGGTTTTTTGTTTTTAAGCCACTAAGAGTAGCTTTCTCAGAAGGCAATCTTATTTTTCTTATTGATAATTTCTTGATTTGCCTCTCACTGTTGACACTATTACCAAAAATAGACCATTTGGGAGGCTAGCTAAAAATTTTAAGTAGTCATTTTGTATTATAATAACTTCTCAATTTTATTTGGCTTTTTAAAAAATGTAGCAGTGAGGATGACCCTAAGTAGATAATTTTAGTTAACTTGTAGAATAATAACCCTTAATTTAAGTCAAAATGTTTGAGTTAGGGGTGTAGAGTTTGAAAGTTTTCATTAAATTGTATGCTACATTCATACACTCATTGCATTCTTCCACTGCCTGATAGTGTTCTGAGCCCTGTGTTCTAAGCAGCAATTGTTAAGAAATCCTTGTACTGGGCCAGGCGCGGTGGCTCACGCCTGTAATCCCAGGCCGTGGGAGGCTGAGGCAGGTGGATCATGAGGTCAGGAGATCGAGACCATCCTAGCCAACATGGTGAAACCCTGTCTCTACTAAAAATACAAAAATTAGCTGGGTGGGGTGGTGTGCACCTGTAGTCCCAGCTACTAAGAAGGCTGAAGCAGGAGAATCCTTGAACCCAGGAGGCAGAGGTTGCAGTGAGCTGAGATCATGCCACTGTACTCCAGCCTGGGTGACAGAGCAAGACTCCAACTCAAAAAAAAAAAAAAGAAAGAAAGAAATCCTTGTACCATTTTGTATTTGAGGAAATGGCTAACTACAAAATACAACCTTGGCCTCACATGTTTGAAGCTGTCTCCATCCTTCCTCATAACTCTCATATGGCTCCTTTGTTTATCTGCATCTATAAAACCCCAAGCCTCTCCCTGTTCTTTGAGATGCTTTAATGTTTTTCATTAATGAATGTTTTCCCTATTGCAATTGCCCAAATAAAATCATCCCCTTAATTGTCCAGCATTCCTTGTCACAAACCAAATCATAATGCTCAATGCCACTTTAACACAAAGTTGATGGGTTAAGTGAGTTAATACATGAGTGTATAGCACTTCGAATGGTGTCAGACACCTATTATATGTTCAACAATGTGTTATCCATAATACCTAAATTATCTATAGGTACATAGGTATATATTATACATATATTAATTACATATAATTATAATAATTATTTTTAATTGTTATTAACTCCTAATCAGGAAAGACAGTTCAGAGAAATCTACTCATCCGTATATTTTATTTCCAGTGTTGCAATCTGAACTAAATTGACCACAGGAGGAGCAAGAAAAGGTCAAGTGAGTAAGTGGGAGAACAAGGGTAGGAAAAGGAAAAATATATGGTTGATTTTCTCCTATATTCCCAATGCTACTTCCAGATAATAGAGCCAGCACCCTCCCTTCCAATCTCATCATTTGAAATGTATATCTTTGGCCGGGCGCAGTGGCTCAAGCCTGTAATCCTAGCACTTTGGGAGGCCGAGGCGGGCGGATCACGAGGTCAGGAGATCGAGACCATCCTGGCTAACACGGCGAAACCCTGTCTCTACTAAAAATACAAAAAAATTAGCTGGGCGAGGTGGCGGGCGCCTGTAGTCCCAGCTACTCAGGAGGCTGAGGCAGGAGAATGGCGTGAACCTGGGAGGCGGAGCTTGCAGTGAGCCAAGATCTCGCCACTGCACTCCAGCCTGGGCGACAGAGTGACACTCCGTCTCAAAACAAAAAAAAAGAAAAAGGAAAAAGAAAAAAAGAAATGTATATCTTCAGTCCAAATCTCTTCTCCCACTTCAAAGCATTATAGTTCTCCTCTAGCAAAATCTTCTTCCTTCTCCTTTGATACCTTCATCCTTCAACAGCATATTCTTTCTGTACACCAGTATCTTCTACATACTGAGGGAATTTCACAGCTCCAGTTTCTTTAGTTCATATTTCTTTCCTTCCTTGACTCTGTAGACCTTCATCCCCATTCCACTAGCCAAGCTCCTGCAGAGCCTTTACTTTGTTTTTCTCTTCACAATAACTGACCCCTGAATTCTTTAAATCAGAAATCCTTTAAGAAATTATCCTTTAAGATAATTTATTTTGTACATGCCACATTTCCTGCTTTTACCTCACAAAGATTAACTAGGTAGTCACCTTCATCATGACTTTAAGTTACCAAACCATTCCCTCTTTCTCAGGCTAACCTTTACCTCCTTGCCTCCCAACACCCTCTTCAAATTCCAGTGTATTTGTGATGTGTTCAGCTTCAGAGAAGAGAAACCATAACGAAAAGAGGCTTAAACCAGGCTAGTCTGATGGTAGTGGGTTATCAGAATTTATTAACACTGTTGTCACTAAAGTTGGTATATAACCCCCCATTGCTAAATTGGACTGGATTTTAAGAAGAAAAAATAAATAAGTAAAAATTTTTAAAAAGTGGCTCACATCAAAATTCTCTGAGAATAGGAAATGGTTAAAAGTAAGCTGAGATATTTATCATTTAGTCTTGGGTAGTCGCTTGAGGCACAGATTGTCTCCAGTTCTAAGCAGCTTTGTCTAGCTACCCACATGTAGCATATGAGTATGTGTGGTGAGACACGGAAAAGGGTCGGAAGCACTGGCCTAAAGAAATAGGAGTTTACTGGCTCATTTTATTCCCAGACCAAACCGAGGGTCGGGCTGCTTATTCTCATGGCCCAATAACAAGATGCAGATGAACTGGGAGAGAAGAGAGTTTATATCTGTAACTGGTTACAGGGAGAAGGCCTGGAAATTGTCACCGACCAAATCAAAATTACAAAGTTTTCCAGAGCTTATATATATTCATCTAAAGACAAAAGTGATTAACTTCTTATAATCTATAACTAAGATGTGAATCCTAAAGACCTTCCTCTGGAGCCTCAGTAAATTTACTTAATCTAAATGGGTCTAGATCCTGGGGTGATTATCCTTATTTTGTCTACTGCTAAGCTATGGAGGTTTGGGGAGTTCCTTTAGTCCCCAGTAAACTTGTTTGTGGAAGTCTGGGGAGTTTCTTCAGGCCCCCAATAAAACTTGTTTAATCCTAAATGGGTCCCATTAAGAAATTCCTTCATTACCTTACCATGCTTTAAGGCCCAGAAAAGGCCTAGGCAAAACTCTTAGTGGGCTTTTGTTACATTCCAGCCTTTGTATAAGGGCACTGGCTCTATCAGCTTTTAATATTTAACTTAACCACTCAGTTAGTACTGAAACAGTTGTTATGAAGGCCTGTGTTAGTGAGACCTGGCCTGCCACAAGGTGACACAAATCCCAGGGTAGAAGTTCTGGGCTGATACTTACAATGCCATTGGGCACCCATGCACTCTCTACCTTTTTGGTCTGCCATCCTTACCATACTGTCATTTTTCTTTTACTCTTTGCCTCATGGTACCAAATGACATCAGTGCCTCTAGGCCTCAAAACCACAAACCAGGCAAAAAGAAGAGAGGGAAAGTAATGGCACCAAATCACATTTGCTTATAATCCATTGGCTAGAAACATATCACATGGCCACCATAGTTTCAAGAAAGGGTGAGCAATTGAGTCTTTAGGTTTTACAGACACCCTAATAAAGTAAAGAAAAAGGCAGGTGGGAAATGGAGGGAGTGGAGTGGGCATTATGGGAGCTGTGATGGTTAATACTGTCAACTTGATTGGATTGTAAGATGCAAAGTATTGACCCTGGGTGTGTCTGTGAGGGTGTTGCCAAAGGAGATTAACATTTGAGTCAGTGGGCTGGGAAAGGTAGACCCACCCTTAATCTGGGTGGGCACAATCTAATCAGCTGCCAGCGTGGCCAGATTAAAAGCAGGCAGAAGAATGTGGAAAGGTTAGAATGGCTTAGCCTCCCAGCCTACATCTTTCTCCTGTGCTGGATGCTTCCTGCCCTTGAATATCAGACTCCAAGTTCTTCAGCTTTGGGACTCAGACTGGCTGCCTTGCTCCTCAGCTTGCAGATGGCCTATCGTGGGACCTTGTGATCATGTGAGTTAATGCTACTTAATAAATTTCCCTTTATATATATATCTATCCTATTAGTTCTGTCCCTCTAGAGAACCCTAACACAGGAACCAACATATAGAATCTGACACACCACAACTCCAAAATGGCAATATTTAATACAGCCATCCCTAGCAGAAGTCCTACACCCTAGATTCTCCTAACCATGCAATGTACCTATGGCATCACACCCAACTCTGAATCTACCTCAGTGTGTGCTCCCAGCCTCTTACTAAAGAATGAGATGATAATGAGGAAAGACTGAGGTCAATTCCATTATTAATTCTCACACTCTAATTGAAATCCAGTGTATTTTAAGCTTCCCTTCCAGTGACATCCTAAAATAAACCTAATTGTAGTTATTATGCATCTTTCTTTTAAATGCCCATTGCTTTTCATCATAGGAAATAAAAACCTAATATTAAAGCTGTGTTGTGTCATATGTCATGCCAGAATCTCCTCTATGCTCTTAATGTCAATAGCAAAAGCAGAAAGAGCAGTAGGGCCATTTCAGGAACCCAGGCAAGTGGCAAAAACATAAAGACTGAGGAGAGGGCTATTGTGAGAACTCAAGTTGAAAGGGGCTGATCAGGATTGCAGCTATTATTTGGCAATGATATGAAGAGGTGAGACAAGGAATTAGGAGGCCTTGAAGTCCAACCAAGGAGAACTAATGAACTACATTATGCCCTAACTTGGTCTCATTTAAAGGCTTCTGGATCTGTCCCCAAAAGTGTGCCACAATTATTCTTAAAGTCACAGCACTCTGAATCCACCACATGACAGATTAATTAACTCTTACCTCCACTGCATTTGCTCTTAAATTTCTCTTTCTTACCTTGTCATTTCATGATATTTCAGTATTACATTTCTAACTATTCACAGAATAACCCCACTCAGATGTTCATCATCTTCCCAGGAACATTACAGTGATATCTGGAGGAAAATGGGAAAGAAAGTCACCTACACTACCATCCCTATGGGCTCAGTTCCCATTTGTAGAGCATAAGCTATGAAGAACTCCTTGCACAAACTCCTAAGGGGAAGAAAGGGGCATGATGGTACCTTGAGCTCGAGCTTGAACTGAGTCTTGACACTTTGCTTTAGAAGAGTAAGAGCTGAAAGAACTGCCATTTCAAAACCGCCAACAGTTTTTTGTTTCACAAAAACATGGAAATAGATCAGAGACAACTGGCTACTTTGTTCTGATTAAACCTCTTGAATGTTATGTAAATGTACAGCAAAGGCAGAATTAGAAGAAGACAGGATTTTGTTTAGTTATGCAAAAGCTTTTTTACTTGGTAGACAAGAATTGCATTTCCACAGATTTAGTTCCCTTGAGGGAATGTCTCTCCTGAGATTAAGACTCCTCTAAACCTGAAAATGGTTGCCTTTCTTGGGAGATGTGAGTTGAGGACATTGCTGGTATCAGATAAGGACCTGGGGACCAGAGGTTGAAGGAACTGCTTATGTAAGACACATTCTGTGCCCTGGGCATGAACAGTGCTGCTTTGAGCTCCAGATGGTGAAGTGTGATACTGAGTTGAAGAGGCAGCCTCCTCTGTCCAGAATCCTTAATACACTAACACTAAGGAGTGTCAGGTTTTAGAACCTCAGACCTGGAAATGGTATTCAATGCATTCTCTCTCTCTCTCTTCCGTTGTCTCTTTCTCTCCCCCTCTCTCTCTCTACCCCCCTTTCTCTCTCTCATTGTCTCTCTTTCTCTCTCACTCTCTCCCATTGTCTCTCTCTCTCTCCCCCGCAATTGTCTCTCTCTCTCTCTTTCTCCCATTATCTCTCTCTCTCTTTCCTTTGATCTATGCCCTCTCTGGTGTTTTATTATCTCCTACTGCAAATAGGCATTCTCCACAAGATCAAGAAAAAAAACTATTGGCATCTATTTTCATAAATTTCTAACTCTGGTATTCAAAAGTTAGTTCCATTTACAACATTCCTGGTAAAATACTGACTTGGGTCACATGACCTACCTCACCATAGGGAGAGGTATTCTCACTGACCTGGTCTGAGCCATACACCCAAGGAGATAACCTTTGCCACTAGAAGAAGTGATGGGAGTTGACCAGTAACCTGACTAACGTACTTGACAACTAAAAACAAAAGCTAGCACTTGCAGTATGTGAAAAGCTGAAAAAATATTTTATCCCAAGTCTGGGCATATATCCATAGCTTCAGAGCCCCATCTGTGTTCCCTTGTACTCTCAGACAGGCCCTTAAGGAAAGAAAGAACAGGCATGTTGTCCACTAGCACCAAGAAGGACACACAAATATTCGTGAATGAAGACATGAATAAAAGTACCAAATGCATTGTTCCCTAACCCTGGACCTTCCCCTTAACCACTTTGTTCACTCTGCTCTTATTCTTCATGTGACGAGGTCACTTAGGGCAGAGGAGACAGGTAGGAGCAGTGTGGTCTTGCTTGTCCTGAGTTGTGGCTCAAAAATAAGAGAAAAGGTTTGAGAGACATAATTCATCTTCAACAATATAAACTTGAACAATTTAATCCTTATAAGTCTGTAAAGTAGAAATCCAAGATTTTGGATTTTTAAATGCGTTAGTTGGTATGAGTGTGATCAAATTTAAACTGCCTATAGAGTCAGATAAACTTAATATTTATCATTTATATTCAAAAATATCAGGAAAACTAACTTTTTAAAAGAGAGAAAAACAGTTTGATTTTATAACAATAATATAATTGCAGTCATTAAAAAATGTCTTACTACAGATTCCTAATTATCATTCAGGACAATAAAAATTATGCATTATGATTAAGTACGTGTCAAATTTACTTTTGCAAATTCTATGTGCTTCTGATGCTTAGTTCTGAAATATCGTCAAGATTTAAATCTGCCCACACTTGTAAAATGAAACAAAACAAAACAAAAACCCAAAACTAGAGAAAGCCTAGGTTAGTATGTCATGAGTACCTCATTGTTGTCTAATGTTACATGTCTTTGTTTTACCTTCCCAACTAGATTGCAAACTTCTTAAGATGTTTTACATTTGTGATGAAATAATTCTAGGTTGAGAATGGATACCAAGACTATTTAGAATTCCTGATACAGACGAGAAAAAACATCCTTCAAACCAGTGCTTCTTCAGCCTATCAGACCTAACACGCTGTGTTTAGAACAAATGCTTCGAAGTAACCATTTTATTATCCTGAAATGCAACTCATTGTTGGCATGATGAAGAAGCATACAATTTCACTATAAAAAGACAATTTAGTACCCTGTCTGTAATACAAAAAAAGGAATTAAGTTTAAAATAAAATAATACATTTTATTGTTGTAAATTTATAAGCACAGCTAAACAAGAAGACCTATAAAGTAGGTCGATTCTTGCACCTATTACCATGAAAAGTTTGCAATTAAAAGACATAAGAAAATATTCAGCTGAAATGTGGATACTTTTCTTTATATTTGTTTGACATTTGAAATCACCATGAGAGAGGCAATAAATGCTAACTGATCAGAGTAAGTTATACCAGCAATTCAAATACCAGGGGTAGAGTTGGATGTCAGTGACAGGATTTTCCAAAATGGTGAACAACCCTTGAAAAGATTTACAAGAAAAAACTACAATTTTCCCTAGATTTGCCCCATAGTTGCATTCCTAAAAAATTTCAAGCATATAAAAATCTTCTGAACATACTTTTGTTCATAGGTAGAATGGTATTGGATTCTAGGCTCAGAAAATTATAAACAGGCTTTCCAAATCATAAATATGCAGTGAGACATCTAAAAGTGGTGCAAGACCCAGAGCAGTTTTGTGTTTAATGAGACTGTTTCTCATAGTACAGGGTATTTAAGATGCATAGCTCCCAATCACTAAATGCCAGTAGTGCCACCCAATCATTGTGACGAAAAAACATCTCTCACAAATTCTAAATACTTTCTAGGAGAGTCCCTTTTGAGAATTACTTCATTAAAGTTTGCAATAAGTTTCTACCTACTAAGAGATGGAAAGTAAAACCCCTCAGCCTGAGAAATTAGGAGTTCTGTTTGTAATGTAAATGGCGTATATCTTTTGCCAAATCTATGCCTGCAGCAGATTGTTTCCAATGAGATAAACTTGCACCAAATATATTATTGCTAGTTCTGTGTGTGTGTGTTTGTGTGTGTGTGTGTGTTTGTGTGTGTGTGTGTTTGTGGGAGAGAGAGAGAGAGAGAGAGAGCTTATGTTGCTCAAATGAAGTCAGGAAGACAAAGCAAGAACTGGAAATTTGTGCAGACTGCTTCCCATTTCAACAAGACTGTAAAGCAGCTAGATTGGGTTTGACCCACACTGATGTAATGTAGTAATGTGGTCTCACACAAGTTATTTTTCAAGACTAAATAACCCACATTTGGAAATTGTACTGCCTGCTCCACCACAGAGCACTCATTTTGGGAAAGCCAAAGAATAAGACCACATATCAGAGGGTAGGGTTTACTGCACCATGTTCCCATTGTTAATTTTCCTGGGAACAGGCCATCATGACAAAGGAAAAGACTGAAACAGTAGTTCTTAGAAGAGGTGAAAGGAAAAGGTTTTTCTTTTATGGCAGTCAGAAATTAGGGGACTTGGCTTTGGAAAGGGGCAGCAGGTTTCTGTTGAGAAGTAAACTGTTTCTGCAGAATTAGAGCAGGCTAATTAGATGTGGGACAGAAAACAAACATCTGCCACAATAATTAAGCCAGGATATCAGAAAAAGGAGCTCAGTAGGATATACTTAGGAAAGGGCTTCAGCTTACTTACTTTGAGACCTGCCAGTTGTCCAGTGTTAAGTTATCTGTGTTGTTATCAGAATCAAACATTAAAAACATACAGCCTATTCTTACCATTGTTTTGGAGAACTGAGAAAGGGTCAGCATGTTGGAGAATTGAGGAGACTCAACAGATCAGATGAGAAGGCTAATACTCTCATCATGGGCAGAGGGTTTAAAAGCTGGGACCAATAATTCAAACTTTCATATAGTACTTTCCACTTCACAACTGTTGGAGCAACAAAGTTTTGGGAGAACTGCTCCATGACGAAGCACCTTCATTAACTCCTTTCACTTGGAATTCCTAAAGAGCATACCTGTTACCTTCTCAGCTACCCAGAAGCACAGAAAATCATTTAAATTCATCCTAATACCAATAGAAATAGAAATAGAGAATAGTTTTTCCTTTACTGTGGTTTGAATGTTTGTTCTGTTCAAAATTCATGTTGAAATTTAATTGCCATTGTAACAGTATTAAGAGGTGGGACTTTTGAGATGTGATTAGGCCATGAGGGCTCTGCCTACACGAGCCAGCTTAATGCCATTATAATAAGGCAAATTTGAACCCCTTTTGCTTCTTTGTCCTTTTGTCTCCCTCCATCTGATGATGCAGCAAAGTCCTTGCCATATGCCAGATCCTTGATCTTAGACTTCCCAGCCTCCAGAGCTGTGAGAAAATAAATTTATGTTCGTTATAACTTACCCAGTTTCAGGTACTCTTTTATAGCAGGACAAAATTAACTATGGCATCCTTCCTCAACACAAAGTTAAGAATCAGAAGATTCTTAACTTCCCTTTGTCTTGCATCTTTATATTTAGGTCTTGAATAAATAGCAGTACATGAAAGGAGGAATAAAAACACTTTTTTTTTTTTTTTGAGAAAAAATCTTGCTCTGTCACCCAGGCTGGAGTGCAGTGGTGCAATCTCGACTCACTGCAACCTCCGCCTTCTGGGCTCAAGCGATTCTCCTGCCTCAGCCTCCCTAGTAGCTGGCACATGCCACCACGCCCTGCTAATTTTTTTTGTATTTTTAGTAGAGACAGGGTTTTGCCATGTTGGCGAGGCTGTTCTCTAACTCCTGACCTCAGGTGATCCGCCCGCCTCGGCCTCCCAAAGTGCAGGGATTACAGGCATGAGCCACTATGTCTAGCCTAAAAAGCACTTTTTAAAGAACTTAATGGCTTCTAACTTTCTTCCTGAGCCCTAAATATCCTTGAAGAAAAATAATAAGCTAAATAATAGGATTAAAAACATTAATTGGAGTTTTAAATGAAGCTTAAAACAGGAAAAGTATATATCTTTGCTAAAGAAAAAATTTAGTTAATAGGTACAAAGAAGAGGTTTCAAATAGAAATTTAAAATGAAAATTAACAAAAATATAATTTTTCACCTATTAGATAGATCATTTAAAAGGTTGATAATGCCAACATTGCTGGTAGGAGTAGATTAGCATTGTATATCAGATTTTAAATGAGTGGCAATTTTAGCATTGAGAATGTAGCCTAAGGAAATAATTGGAGAATCCCCAAGACCACCTTCAGGTTCAGTAATTCACTGAGAGGACTCACAGGGCTCAGCATATGTTCATACTCATAATTTATTATAGTGAAAAAATACTAAGCACAATCAGCAAAAGGAAAATGTGCATGGGGCAATGTCCAGGGAAAACCAGGCACAAGCTTTCAAAAGTCCTCGCCCAGAGGAGTCACACAGGATATGCTTAATTTCCCCGGCAACAAGTTACAATAACTTATGTGAAACACCAACCACAGAAGCTCTTGAGATACTCAATGCCCACGGTTTTTACTGGGGATGGATCACATAGGCAACCTTTGCTTGGCATGTACCAAAATTCCAGACACACAAGGAAAATAGGTGTTCAGTAAAAACCATATTGTTTATACAAAAAGGTTAGGCATAGTGAGCTACTATTATCAGTTAATAATAGGAACCCTTGCAAAATCTGTTACCAGACATCAACCAAAAGTCAAATTTATAAGCAGGCCTTTCTAAGGACAGGAATTCAGTCCTGTTATATTAACTATTTTCAGGAAGGCACATATCAAAAATAAATGTTGAAAAATGTTAATCAGAGCACTTTTAATACTAGTTTTTCTAAAAACTGGGGAAAAACTATATTTCCATTAATAGGTGCTTATTAAATAACACATTATGTCTCCATAAAATAAAAAAACAATAGCTCTCTCAAATGAATACAAACATGTATTCATGGCTGGGCATGGTGGCTCACACCTGTAATCCCAGCACTTTGACAGGCCAAGGCAGGTGGATCACCTGAGGTCAGGAGTTTGAGACCAACCTGACCAACGTGGAGAAACCTCGTCTCTACTAAAAAAATACAAAATTAGCCAGGTGTGGCGGCAGGTGCCTGTAATCCCAGCTACTTGGGAGGCTGAGGCAGAGAATTGCTTGAACCCGGGTGGCAGAGGTTGCAGTGAGCTGAGATCACACCATTGCACACATGCCTGGGTAACAAGAGTAAAACTCCATCTCAAAAAAAAATTATATATATTCATTAACATATAATATTCAACTTTCTACTTCTCATCTTCATTTATATATTGAATTAGCCATATATTTATTATATCTAAAACCCATAATTTTCCTCCTTAAGCCACCAGCTTCACCCATACTCTGCTCCATCTCAGTTTTAGCCAGTCCATTATTTTTGTTGCTCAGACTAAAAACAGTAGACAGGTTCCTAATTCCTCTATATTTTTCATATATCACATGCAATTTATCAGCAAATCCTAGTGGATATACCTTCAAAATGTATCCAGAATCTGACCACTTCTCCTCATCTCCTTTCCTACCACTATGGTCCAAGACACTGTCATGTACTAGGATGTTATTGCAATGGTGTCCAAGGCTCCCTCTGGTTCTATCTTTAGTCCTTGTAGCATAAACTTATAGGCCTCCAACCAATTTGTTTCTCTTTTTTTCTTTTTTAATTTTTTTCTTTTTTTTTTTTTGAGGCAGAATCTCATTCTGTCACCCAGGCTGGAGTGCGGTGGTGCGATCTTGCCTCACTGCAACCTCCTCCTCCCAAGTTTAAGCTATTCTCCTACCTCAGCCTCCTGAGTAGCTGGGACTACAGGCACGTGCCACCATGCCCAGCTAATTTTGTGTATTTTTAGTAGAGGCAGGGTTTCACCATGTTAGCCAAGATGATCTCGATCTCCTGTCCTTGTGATCTGCCCGCCTCGGCCTCCCAAAGTGCTGGGATTACAGGTGTGAGCTACCACACCCGGCCCTTTTTTTTTTTTTTCTTAAAAAAAACTTAGGCTGTACACATGGTCATCACCTCTTCCCCCATTAGGGACTGTATTTTCAGTCTCACTTGAAGCAAGTTGTGGCTATATGATTAAGAAGGATGGGATGTGAGCAGAGGTGAAGTGTGCAACTTTTGGTTCATCTCTAATGTAAAAAACAAGCCATTTGTCCTAGAAATTCTCTCTTCCTCTTTTCTGCAAGATGTCATGATCCTGTGAACACAAGCAAGATAAAAACATGATTGAAAGGATAGGGAACAACAAAACATGTAATCTGGTCCCTGACTGACCACATGGAACAGAACCACACTACCAACATCCCAAGAAGTAAACCTTATTCAAGCCTCTGTAATTTGGCAGGTCTCTTTGTTTCAGCATAACTACTGCCATGACCCCAATACACTCCTCTGTATTTATTCTCAAAACAGTAGTTTATATGATTCTAGTTGAATCATGTTAGTTGAATCATGTTATTTCTCTATGCAAAATTCTTGAATGACCATTCAGCTTATTCAGAATAAAAGCCAAGGTCTTAACTAGGTCCCAGGCAATCTTGTCCTCCCAGGTCTGTTTGGCCAGTTTCTGTTCATATTCTCCCATTCCGCTGTAGCCATAGGGGTCTGTTTGGCACTCTTTGAAGGTGCCAGGCACTCTCCCATCCCATCACAGCTCCTTTGCAGTTGCCGTTCTCTCTGCCGGAAACTCTCTTTGTCTAGAAATCCACAAAGATAACTCCCTTACCAACTCTGAGTTTTTCCTCAAACATTATTTTCTCAGTGGACCTTCCCTGACCAACCAACACTTGCACACTCCATGTCTTTCCTGTCTTCCTGTTCTCTGTAGCCCCTATTGCTTTCTAATATATACTATAACTTACTTATGATATAATTTATTTATGTAATATTACTTTCCCTTCAAAAGTAAGCTGTATGAAGGCAAAATAATTGATTATGTTTACTGATAATGTTTCTGACACATGGAAAATGAATAATAAATGTTTTCTGAATAAACATGTCAATAGGAATGCTTTTGTCTACAAATAAAAAAAATTAACAGAAGCTTAAAGCATATAAATACACTTATTGTTTTTTGTTTTTGTTTTTGTTTGAGACAGAGCTTCACTCTTGTTGCCCAGACTGGAGTGCAATGGCTCGATCTTGGCTCACCACAACCTCTGACTCCCGGGTTCAAGCGGTTCTCCTGCCTCAGCCTCCCGAGTAGCTGAGATTACAGGCATGGGCCACCATGCTGGGCTAATTTTGTATTTTTAGTAGAAACGGGGTTTCTTCATGTTGGTCAGGCTGGTCTTGAACTCCCAACCTCAGGTGATCTGCCCACCTTGGCCTCCCAAAGTTCTGGGATTACAGGCATGAGCCACTGCGCCTGCCCCACTTATTGTTTATGTTACAAGAAAACCTGGTTAGTGTCACAGATTGTCTACATTAGGTCATCACTACAGTGCCAATAATATTTCTCTTTATTTTCACAAGATGGCTGCTGTAGCTCCAAACAGTACGTCTTCATACAATACAACCTCAAGAAATTGAAGGAGGGAAAAAAAATGCTCTCACATGTCTTTTTTCAGGATGGTAAATCTTTCCCAGATGTCTTCCAGTAGACTTCCTCTTAGGTCTCATTGACCAGAGTGGCATTACACTGTCATTTCTAGACAAATTACTGGCAAGAGAGAAAGGATAGCTATAATTTTTATATACACCAATCAAGATTTATCCCAGGGGCTGAACAAAATGCTATCTAAACAAAATTAGAATTCTGTTAACATAAATGTAGGAGACATGGTTGTTGGGTTGGCAGCCAAGAGTCTGCCTGAATGACATACAAATGAATATTGTTTATTGCAAAATTATAATTATATAATAAGGTTACCTTTTATAATAGGAATTATTTGAAGGTTATCTTTTAATGTTTAATGTAATTAAATAGGAAAAAGCACTCCAGAATGATAGTGTATCAGTTAAGATTGCTTTTAATTGCATGTAACAGAAACCAGATTAAAATTTAAATGCTTAATCAGAAAGGTTTTTTTCCTTATAACAAGAATTTCCACTGTAGGCAGTTCAGGACTGATCAAAGGGCTTCATGATGCCATGAGGGACTCAGGCTTCATTATGCCAGACTGCATGCAATTTTTGTCTTTTGGGCCAAAAAAAAATGACTGCACTCCTAGCATATTTGCACACTATGTAGACAAGAGGTGGTTGCTAGGCAAGTCAGCCGCCTTCCCAATAGCGCGTACTCAGTGATTCCTGCTTGCATCTCCTTGGCCAGAACTGGTTCTCAGGGCCATTGCTTGTCTGGGGAGGTAAGTATTTTAGCTAGATCCAAACAAAAATTTGGATCTGTTATTAAGAAATAAGAAGAGAATGGATATTTGATAGGCAAGTAGTGTCTACAATTTATGTTTACCAAATATATTAACTGTGACTACCATTGAGTGGTGAAATTATAAGTGATTCTTGTATCTTATTATATTGCCTGAGTTGTTTTCAAAATGTATGTTCTTTTTTAAAAAAAATTTGGAAATAAGCATAATAAAGCTATTTCGATTTGGCAGGGGAAAGTAGAAAGTTTAGAGATTTTTTCCTATAGACTGCACCAAAATATTCCTGACCTTAAAATGTCTGCTCCAAATGATCATGTCAAAATATTCTTACCAAATATATAACTTTGGACATATACTCTCAGAGCCTCAGTTAACTTGTCAATAAAATAAGGACATTATAACTACTCCCAAAGTTATTGTAAAGTTTAAATGAGATAATGTATATAAAATATTTAGCACAAATGCTCACTATATGGTAGCTTTTATTAATAGTACTTAAGATCGAGTGTAGTGGCTTACAGTACTACCCGCACTTTAAGAAGCCGAGGTGGCAGGATCACTTGAGCTCAGGAGTTTGCGACCAGCCGAGGCAACATACTGGGACTTCATCTCCACTAAAAATAAAAAAAAAATTAGCCAGGTGTAGTGGCACATACCTGTAGTCCTAGCTACTCAGGAGGCTGAGGTGGGAGAATCACTTGAGCCCAGGAGGTCAAGATGGCAGTGACCTGTAATCGCACCACTGCACTCCAGCCTGGACGACAGAGCAAGACCCTGTCTCACTAAATAAATAAATAAATACATAAATACATAAATAAATAGTACTTAGATACATGGTAGTTGTAAAATAGTCTTTAAATTAACTATATGTTTTATTGACTTTACTTAGCTATATCTGTTATATTAGCTCATCTTTGAGTATTTACTATGTAACAGAAACTGCTAAATATCTTACTTATATTGTCATGTAAACCTCAAAATAATCTATGAAATAGATAAATTATTATCTGTATTATGCAAATGGAAAAAAAAAACTATGGCTTAGGGAGGTTAAGCAAATTGTTCAAGATTATATAAGGCAAAATGTGGCAAAGCTTAAATTTAGAGCTAGGCAGTTTGACACAAATTTTTCATTCTTAACCAATCTCCTACAACATGAATCTGAAAGTCCTCTATTTTAACATCATGAAAAATCATTAGCCTGCTTATAAATCAATTCGTCTAAGAAATTACTTTGGCTATTTTAATTTGCAAGTCTAGCAGAAAGAACTGTAGAATCAGCCGAAACACATCCAGAAATTCAAACCTTGTCATTGCAGCTTTTATTAATGATGGCACCCCGGTTAATAGTTCTGCTTTAAACAATTTTTATAAATTCTCAAATAGTATGGATTCATACATTTTATAAAAATATATACAAATGCAAAATTTTCAAGTTAATTCATTTACTAATTACAATTTGGCTAAATCAGTCTAGAAAACTAACAATGCTATGAAAAAAGTCAAGTAATCCATAACAAAAGAGCAATATAAATAGACACTCTTTCTCAGTTATTGTACTGGAATAACTAGTTGTATTAACTGCTTGCATGACTTCATTCTTAAGTATAAAATTAATAAAATGAGAGAAGAATAAAAAATAATGAGGTTTTAGTTTAAAAAATACTAATTGAAATCATTAGACAAATGATTTATAAGTTATCTTAGCTGAATCTAAAAGAAATATATTTCTCAGCAAAATACAATTCAGACAATTTTATAGCAAGTATCTCTCTAAGGTTACTGCAATTTACCAACACAAATAAATTGAGTTCTGTAAAAGTTAATGACTGTCTGATACTTCCTGCTGGCTAGAAGAAAAGGCAGAATACAGGAGCAAATATATTACAAAAAATGATTTTTAAAAAATGCTTATGAGGTACAGCGGTATGCAGAAGAGTGAAAGATTATGTGCAGGAGTCAATCAGAAAAGCTTTACATAGGATATAGCAGAATACATCTCTGAAAGATAAATAGAACTTTTTCAGATAATTTCCACAAAGAAAAGCAGTCCAGGCAGAGGGACCAATATAAGCAAAAGCATAGAGAATATAAAATAATGTGGTGATTTTGAGGAATTGCATGTTCTTCAACACTCCTAAACATAAATTTTGAGGAAAAAATGACATGAGCTGTTAGAGATGAAGCAGGTGATTCACAGAGGATCTTTTTGGCCATATTGTAGTTTGAGCCTTATCCAAGGTCATTGGGAGAGACACTGAAAAATATATATCAGTGAAGTCATGTGGTCATATGGCATTTTAAGTAATCATTTTTATCATACTGATGGAAGACCCTTGCATCATTATGATTTTTTTTTTTGCTTCTAGTAGTACATTTTGCATTAAAATATTTTTGATATAGTATAGCTTTACCAGTTTTGTTTTGGTTAGAATCTGCATGTTCTAGAATTTTTAACCATTTTACCTTCATCTTTGCAGCAAATAATTAGAAACCTTTTCCTCAATCTAATAATACATGTTTTTTTCAGATGGAGTCTCGCTCTGTCGCACAGGCTGGAGTGCAGTGGGATGATCTCGGCTCACTGCAACCTCTGCCTCCCGGGTTCAAGTGATTCTCCTGCCCCAGCCTCCTGAGTAGCTGGGATTACAGGCACGCACCACCATCCCTGGTTAATTTTTTTATTTTTAGTAGAGACAGGGTTTCACATGTTGGCCAGGCTGGTCTCAAACTCCTGACCTCAGGTGATCCACCCACCTTGGCCTCCTAAAGTGCTGAGATTACAGGCATAAGCCACTGCACCCGGCCTCAATCTAAAAATTTTAGTCTGTAATTGGAATATTTATCCATTAATATTTAATGTAATTTTACCAGTATTATTATAATTTATTTTTTATTTGTCCCACCTGTTCTATATTTATTTTTTCTTTCCATTCTTTTACTCTTTGGAATTAATGAAGTGATTGTTGCTATTTATTTCCCCCTTCCCACTATTTGCTTGTTGGTTATATACTTTTTCTTATTTCATGGGTTATGTTAAAGCAGGGTTTATCAACCATGTTACAAGTGACATTTTGGACTGAATAATTCTTTCTTGGGTTTGGGGAGGGCCATTCTGTGTATATTGTAAGATTTTTAGCACCATTCATGGATTCTACACATTAGATACCACTAGCACCACTCTCCCTCCCCTAATTATAATAATAAAAAATGTCATTAGACATGAATGAATGTCCCCTGGGGGACAAAATGTCCTCTCTTGAGACCCACTGCTCTAGATCTGGGATGTTCAATATGTTAGCCAGTAGTCACATGTGAGACCTTGACATGTGGTTAGTATAAATTGAGATATGTTATAAAAGGTAAAAGGCTCTAGATTTTGAAAACTTAGTATGATTGAAAAAAAACAGAACTTTAGAACACCTCACTTTAACTCTGTTAACTATTCCTTTCCTCTTTTTGTGCTATTGTTGTCAAGGGATTTTTGGTTTGGTTTGGTTTAGTTTTCAGAGACAAAGTCTTACCCTGTTACTCACGCTGGAGTGCAGTGGTGTGATCATAGCTCATTGCAACCTCAAACTCCTGAGCTCAAGCAATCCACTTAAGCCTCCTGAGTAGCTAAAACTACAGACACGCTGCCATGTCTGGCTAATTTTTTCTTTCTTTCTGTTTATTTTTTTTTTTTTTTTTTTTTTTTTGTGGAAATGGGTGTCTCGCTTTGCTGCCCAGGCTGGTCTCCAGCTCCTGGCCGCAAGAGATCCTCTCACCTAGGTTTCCCAGTTGGATTAGGATTACAGGCATGAACCACCATACCTGACCTCAAGTATTCTAATTCTATAATTATACATGCCATTTCACATTAATAATATTGTTCTATATCGCTAATATTCACCTACATTTGACCTTTTACGTTGCTGTCTTCACTGCTTCCTGAATTTTCATGCTTCCATTTGGAATCATTTTCTTTCTGATTGAAGAATTCCCTTTATTATTTTTTACTGCATACCTACTATTGATTAATTCTCTCAATTTTTGTTTTTCTTAAAGTCTTTCATTACAGCTAAGTGAATTTTTACATATGAACATATTCACATAACCACAACCCAGATCATGGAATAGTTTCAGCACTATCAAAGGCTCCCTCATGCCTCTTCTAATGAATACTTCCCCAAAAGGAATACTATCCTGACTTCTATAAACATTAATTCGCTTTGCCTTCTTTTGGCATTCATATAAACAGGCTTATACAGTAGCCTTTTGTGCCTAGTTTCTTTTGTACAACACTATGTCTATGAAATTTGTCCATTTTTGTAGCATGTAGCAGTAGTTTTCTGAATAATATTACATTGTATCAATACACCACAGTTGGTTTTTCCAGTATCACATTGCTGTATCATTGTTCCCAGATGTATGTGATTATAAATAAAGCTGCTATGAACTTTCTTGTACATGTATTTGGTGAACACAAGCACTCAATATACTAGGAATAAAATTGCCGGGTCACATGGTAAACTCCTTAGTAGATACTGCCGAACAATTTCCAAAGTTGTTGTACCAATTTACATTCCCATCAGCAATGGATGAGAGTTCTAGTTTCTCCACATCGTCACTTAACAGTTTGGGATAGTAAGGTTTTTTATTCTTAGCTTTTCTGGTGTATAACTGTCTTTTGGAGGATATGTATTGTGAACATATTCTTCTGATTTTTGGCTTTTTTTTCTCCTTGATGTCTTAGGCTGAACATAAGTACTTAATTTTTAAAAAGTCTAATTTTAAAATTCCTAAATGTAATTTTAAAAAACAGACTTTCTAATTTTTCAAAGTCTGTTTGTTCTGGTTATTATGTTTTGTTTAAGAAATAATGGCTTATCCCAAGATCATTAAGACAGTTTCTTATAACTTAATCTAGAAATCTTATTTAACTTTCACATTTAGGTCTATGATTCATCTTCTTTTAATTTTGAAGGACATTTTCGCTAGTTTGGAATTCTAAGGCATTTGCTTTCATTTGTTTACAGAAGCTATTCTAGTGTTTGTCATTTCCATTATTTCTGTTGAGAAGTCATATTGTTGCTTCCTTAAAAAGACTTTTTCTTTCTTTTGGGTGCTTCTAAGATTTTTCTCTGTGTTTGGTTTTCAGCAGTTTGACTGTAATGCTCCTAGATATGGTTTTCTTTGAATTTATCCTGAATGGAGTTCATAACCCTTCTAGATTCTGTGACCTGATATCTTCCATAACTTTTAGAATATTTGGGTCAACATCTCTCCAAATATTGCTTCTGCTTATTCTCTTTCCTTTTCTTCTGGGACTCAAATTACACGTACATCAGAATGTGTCACCATGTCCCACAATTTTCTTATGCTGTTTTCCGCATGTCTAACCTCTTTTTCTCACCATAATTCAATCTGGATATTCTTTTCTGTCCTTTCTTCCAGTTTATTTATTCTCTTTTAAACCATGTTTAATCTGCTATTAAGCCCGTTTACCAAATTCTTGTTTGAGTTACTATAATTTTTGCTTCTACAGTTTCCACAAAATTTTTAATAGACTCCAGTTTTCTATTGAAATTCCTTATCTTTTCATATTTTTTTCTTGAACATATTAATTGATAGTTATTTTAAAGATCATAGGGCCAGGTGCATTTGCTCACATATGTAATCCCAAGACTTTGAGAGGCCAAGGTGAGAGGATCCCTTGAGGCCAGAAGTGTGAGACCAGCCTAGGTAACAGAGTGGGACCCTCTCTCTACAAAAAAAATTTAAAAATTAGCTGGGAGTGGTGATGAGTGTCTGTAATCTCAGCTACTCTGAAAGCTGAGACAGTAGGATTACCTGAGCCCAGGAGGTAGAGGCTGCAGTGAGTCATGATCACACCACTGCACTCCAGCCTGTGTGACAGATCAAGACCTTGTCTCAAAAATAAAAAATAAAAATAAAAGAAGCCCATGTGCAATAAACACAATATGTGGATCTCTATGTGTTTGTTTGCCTGTTTCTTTTGTTGTTTGTTTGTTTTGATACAGAATCTCACTCTGTTGCTCAGTGGCACAATCTCAGCTCACTGCAACCTCTGCCTCCTGGGTTCAAGCGATTCTTCTGCCTCAGCCTCCTGAGTAGCTGGGATTACAGGTGCACACCACCATGCCCGGCCAATTTTGTATTTTTAGTAGAGGCGGGGTTTCGCCATGTTGGTCAGGCTGGTCTCGAACTCCTCACCTTGTGATCTGCCCGCCTTGGCCTCCCCAAGTGTTGGGATTACAGGCGTGAACCACTGTGCCCGGCCACCTGTTTCTTTTTATATATTTATTTATTTGAGACCACGGGCATGTGCCACCATACTCAGCTAATTTATTTTTTTCAGAGGTGGGGTCTTCCTATGTTGCCCATGCTGGTCTTGAACTCCTGGCCTCAAATGATCCTCCTGCCTCTGCTCCCCAAAGTGCTGGGGTTACAGGTATGAGGCATCATAACTGGCCGGTTTTTGTTTTTTTCTTGTGATGTGGTCATTTATTCTGTGTCCTGGTATGCCTACAATTTTCTACTAAATATTGGGCATTGTGTATGAAAAGTTGTAGTAATAACTTGAAGCTTTCAATGATGTTTTCTTTCTCTGGAGATTACTTTTTATTTTTCTGGTAGGCAGTCAAATAGAGCTAGATCACCTGAATATATTCTGTGATGGTACTGATTCAAAGCTAAGTTTCTTTTTTAAAAATTAAACTTAATTTAATTTAATTTTTTTGTAGAGACATGGTCTTGATATGTTGCCCAGGCTGGTCTCAAGCTCCTGGCCTCAGGCAATCCTCCCACCTCTACATCCCAAAGTGCTGGGATTACAGGCATGAGCCACCATGCCCAGCCTAACAGCTGAGTTTTAGTCTTTGCAATGGCTCTGTATTTTCAGTTTACACCACTCCTAGGATTATCCTTCCATAGGTTTCACTAAAAAATCTGGAGTGTTTACAAGAGTCATTTGCCTTGGATGGATGCTGAACTCCAAATTTTGTCTCCCCAGTATCATAAGACTGATAAAAATTCTGCTTAATGAATCTCTTGGTCAATGCTTTCTGTTTGATTTCTTTTTTTTCTTTCTTTCTTTTTGAGACAGAGTTTCACTCTTGTTGCCCAGGCTGCAGTGTAATGACATGATCTCGGCTCACTGCAACCTCCACCTCCAGGGTTCAAGTGATTCTCCTGCCTCAGCTTCCTGAGTAGCTGGGATTACAGGCATGCGCCACCATGCCCAGCTAATTTTGTATTTTTAGTAGAGATGGGGTTTCTCCATGTTGGTCAGGCTGGTCTTGACTCCTGACCTCAGGTGATCCGCCTGCCTTGGCCTCCCAAAGGGCTAGGATTACATGCGTAAGCCACCGTGCCTGGCTTTCTGTTTAATTTCTAATCCCCTCATTCTATACCACCCACAATCAGCAAATTCCTTGAGGGGATAAATAACAAAGACTGTTAGGATCATCTCAATTTCTGTGTCTTCTTTCCAAGATCTTGGTTGATGGGTTCCTAGTTCCCAGTTGCCTAGTTCTCTGATATTTTCAAACCAAATTTTTTTATTTCATTCAGTTTCTTTTAAAGCTGTTGTTGACATTGGGGGTAGGTCTGATAAAAGCTAGTCTATTTGCTTAAAAGAGAATTACCAAGACGATATCAAGATACCTAGTGTTAGAAATAAATGCTTGTTCCTTGGTGCCAAAAAGAAGAACTAGCGCTCAAAGAATTTTCTCAGCAAGGCAATTTTACTTTCTGCAGAAAGGGTGCTTTTTGGAAGCCTGATTGTCACGAGAGCACCTTGAACAAAGAAAAGCAGAGGTTTTTATTCCTGACGCATTGGGTCCTTACTGCTGTGTCCTATCTCCATTGGCTGGAGCTGGACTGCACAATCTAGACTGATCCCGATTAGCTAAAAACTTAAAACTTTCCTAAACAGGCAAATGTGCGACAGAGAACAAGGAAAGGAAGGGGGTTGTTTATGGGAAACTAGGAGAACAATAACATTTCCAAATAAGGAAGGGGCGTAGGCTGTAAGCCAGGAAATGCCTGGGCATGTTCAGATACGTCTGAGCAGGTTATAGGCCAGAATAAATAACTTGGTTGAAGTACAAGGACATAGAATGTACTTATTCCCTTACTATATGTAACAGCTACACAGGGCTTAGCAAAGAGTTATTAGCAAAAAGCAAGGAAGCTTGAAGGAAGTTAGTTTTTAAAAGAAACTATTATTTCTAACACTTATTTATTCTTTAACGAAAAGGGAAACTTTGAAGAGGAACTTTTTACTTTTCACAACAGTGACAGAGCCTTCTGGGTATAATTGTTCCTAATTGTGCAGTTTATGCAAATAGAGATGACAAAAAATATTTTATTGGCCACTTTAGGACAAATTGCTAAAGAGACCACAAAACACATTGCAGCACAACAAAAGTCTCTAAATTCCTTAGCTTTAATGTTTTAGCAAAATGTATATGTTTTATATAGCTAATTGCTACAAATCTAACTAAAACCAAGATTACAGTAGCTCAATGCATAGACTTTATAGATAAGTCAACTTTGTAATCCTGCTTTTGGGTTTAGTTTTTGACTCCTGTGTTGCTTAAAAGGTTTTAAGGGTTCATGAGTGCCTGTCCACCTCCATTCCCTTCTAGCCTAGAATGTCTAATTTGCTGTAAATCTTTTAGCTCTAAGTCCCTTGAACTTCCAGGCCACTGAGGGACAGACTGGAACCAGGATAGGTAGCCACACCACCCTGGCAACAATATGGGAAAAAATAAATTTTAGCTGTAGATGCTGCCTCTAGCAAATCTCAGACAAAGGGGGAAAATGAGAAATAAAAATAAAATTCTAACCCCCCAACAGACTGAACAGACGATCTCTTGGCCAAGAAGACACCAGAGTAACCTTGAAAACTGAGTTCTCAGCCATGATAGTATTGGAGGTCAGACACACCTCCTTATACCTTATCTCCCTCACTAACCACCATTAGCCTTTTCTTCCCTAAGGGGTAAACAAAAACCAGCCCTTTCAAAAGGCTGCACCACTGATCTCAAACAACCTCCTGAGATTGCCCTTCTTTTTTGCTTAAGAGACCACAGACTAAGAAGTGGTTCTGGCCAGTCTTTGAAGAATGTGAGAATGTGTAGTAAGGGATTTTATGTCCTCTGCCTCACTTTTTGACATCACAGGGCGGAAAACTCCACCCTTGAGTTATGCTAACATCGCCATCTTTTAAACATGTTACCCATGAAGATGAATGAAGCTCAACTGCGCATGTGCGTTTCTCCTTTTATAAATATTCATGAGTCCAATAACTTATTGAATACGTATATTCAGCCACCTAGTTCGGGCATGAATTCCCGTTCCCTTTTCCCCTCCCTCCAAGTGTTGGTTTTTGCCTGGAGGCTGTGCATGTTTCCCAGCCTATTAGAATGGCCACCCTGCCAGCTACAATCTTTTATGAGAAATAAAGCTCTCCTTTCAAAATTAAAAACAACAACAAACACAAGATGATTCTGCCTGGTCAGAAGTAAAAAATCCTCTAGACCTATCTCTGTGCAGGATGTCTGTGAAGAAGAGGAAACCAGAAAAGAAGAGCTACTATAGAGATAATGAAAATATGAACTACTAAACTTTCTTCCATTTCAGATTAAAAAAAAAATAGAAAAATAAGAGACACATTTGGAGGGTAGAATTATTAGAATTTAGTGATTGGATATGTAAGAAAGATGTGAAAGAGAGGAGAGAAATCAAAGATGCTTAGATAATGGATAGTGGCCGCACTAGCTGAACAAGGCATGCAGAAAATAAAAAGGGATTAAGAGGGTCACAAGGCCAGGTGCAGTGGCTCACACCTGTAATCCTAGAACTTTGAGAGGCCAAGGTGAGAGGACCACTGGGGCCCGGAGTTCAAGACCAGCCTGGACAACATGGTGAAACCCCGTCTCTATAAAAAATACAAAAAAATAGTTAGGGGTGGTGGCACACACCTGTAATCCCAGCTATTTGGGAGGCTGAGGTGGGAGTATCGCCTGAGCCTGGGAGGTTGAGGCTGCAGTGAGCTGAGACTGGGCTACTGCACTCCAACCTGGGCAACAGAATAAGACCCTCTCTCAAAAAAAAAAAAAAAAAAAAAGAGGGGTTCACAATCAAAAAGGATGTGGTCAAGGGGGAAGGGATAATGAATTCTGGTTTAATCATGCTTAAGGTGTCTGTGGATCTTTAAGCAGAGATGATCATTAAGCAACTGGATTGGGGGGAGAGATTTGGGCTACTGAAACAGAGTTGTAAGTTATCTGAATATAAGTGGTGGTTAAAATTATAAAGTCAGATGCAATCATGCAGGTAGCGTTCTGTAAGTAGAATATGAGAACAAGCCTTGGACACACCTCTGAGAAACTCAAATATTTAAGAGGAAGGAGATATATAAATATCAGTTTAGAATCAATCTCAATTAATTATATAGAAAAATGGTAAGTAGTCCAATTTTTAAAAATTATTCCATGAAAAATAATTACTTGGGCATATTAGGTCCTTTATGATGTTTAACAAATTAGTATTTTTATAGGTCCATAAGACAGTCATTAGTCATGTATTTCCACAAAGATGTATATATCTGGAACATACAGCAGAAACACCAGAAGGATATAAATGAAACAAAGGTAATATACGTAATTTCAGGCTGGAGTTGGTCTGGTATTACTGATTTAGGGAGTAGGCTCCGAAGTACCAGCTGTAGAATCCTACTGCCCACATTTGTAACCTACCTTTTCTACTTCCTAGTTGTGTGATACTAGGGAAGATGCTTAATCTCTCAAAGCTCCAATTTTATTATTTATACAATAAAAATAAAAACAATACCTATTCCATTGGGTTGCTATGACAATGAAATGAAATAATGTGTGTAAAGTTCTTGGCATAGTGTCTGGCATATAATAAACTATCAATAAATATGAAAAGTTATATAGCTTCAGACCAGCTAAATTACACTAAAGTAAAATTAATACGAACATTTAAATCACTATTGAATTCAAGTTTTAAACACCTTTTACCTATGTTTAAATGGCAGAGTAAATCTAGTTGTAATATTTTTCATTCTTTTGATTACCAACACTGATTCAACCTGGAATATTTTCTTTCTCTATATGTTGCCCCCCAAAATAAAAATAAATGCAAACTTCCCACATAGAAATAAACCGTCTTTTTGTCAAAGTAAATATGTACCTGTGTTCCTTTGCTTGAATTGCTTTTGCACATATAACTAAAGTAATAAATGCCTTCCAAACTAGATAAAAGTTGTATTATCTGAAGTGACTTATTAATGTAAAACTGTATCCTGTATTTACCATGTGTTGGGCTGCAATCAATCATGCTACCTAAAGATCTACATAACTCTCCTTTTTAAATTCCACATCAGTCAAATATTTCTGGGAAATGAATTCTCCTAAACCAAGAACAAAATTTGTATTTGGCCAAGATACCAACTTCACTCTTGAAGTCAGTGATTCTTAATGATTCACAAGGTAAGTGCTTGCTATTTTATCCAAAGACAATAAGCAAGTTCAATTCAGTACTAACTGAAACATTGACTTTACTTTCTCTTGCCTTTAGAAATCTTTTTAGCATTTTTCATTTCTAATACTGTCTCCATCTGAATGTTCTTAGTTTGAATGTACTAATGCATTCAGAAAACATTCTTTTTTCAATTAATCCATTTTACTTGTGTGCAAGGGAGAGAAGAAAATTGTTTGCTTTATACTCTCATTTTCCTCATATATATATATATATATTTTTTTCACCCTCTCTTATGGTGATGATCCTTATATTTTACAAATTGGAAACTTTGAAAATGAAATAGTTACCTTGTGCTGTCAAGACTCTTTTTGTTCTAGGTAGTGGAAATATAATACAAATTACTTGTCCCTTAAAAGAAATGTATAGGCCAACTAACTGCAATATGCAGAGACGGTGCTAGCTCAGACACAACTAAATCAAGGGTTTCAAACCACAGTATCATCACTATAATTATTATCATATTTATTGTTCTCTCTGTGCCTCTTTCTCTTACTGTTCTGGGAAGAAGAGGTATTGGTCTTCTTGTTGCTGCTATAATAAATGACCACAACCTTAGTGACTTAAAACAGCAAAAATTTATTCTCTTAAAGTTCCAGAAGTCAGAAGTCCAAAATGAGCTTTACAGGGCTAAAACTTGAGATGTGGGCAGGGCTGGTTTCTTCTGGAGGTTCTAGGGGAGAATCTATTTCTTGACTTCTCCATGGTCTAGAGGCTGCCAGCATTTCTTGGTTTGTGGCAGCATCATTCCTGTCTCTGCTTCCATGGTCATGTTGCCTTCAACTAACTCTGATCTCCTATTTCTCTTTTGTCAGGACTCCTACGATTATATCAAGCACACCCCAAATGAAATATCCAGATAATTCAAGACAATCTGTTCATCTCCAGATTCTCAATTTAATCATATCTAAAAAATCTGTTTTATGGTGTAAGGTCACATATTCACAGGTTCTAGGGATTCAGATATCAACATATTTGGGGAGGTGATTATTCAGCCAAACACAGAGGGTCTCTTAGAACACTAACTTTAGCAAAAGTACCAGGAAGAATTCTTATTGGCCCAGCTTGGGTAATATGCCCATCCCCAAGACAATCACTATGGCCAAGGGGGTGATGTTGATGGTCAGACAGCCTAATCTGCATGACCACTCCTGAAGGATGTAATGAGAATGCTGTGACAACGGTCCCACTGGGTCTATATGTATTTGGAGAGGGATGGCTTTCCAAAGGAAGAGTTGCTATTACCAGAAGAATAAAGAAGGGATTATGAGCAGACTCCCCTCTCCCCTCACCAAAAAAAAAAAAAAAAAAAAAAAAACCCGCACAAAAAGCAGAGGCACACTACGAATTCCCATTAGAACAACACTGTCAATACTCTGGTAATAATAACAGAACTGTTCTTATTTGAAAATTCCATGTATGAGGATGTATACCTGTCTATATGTTTTTGGTTTGGACCAAAAAAGCAACGAATAAGAATGCGAGATTTAAGGTCAGACAGACCTGGATTTATAGCCTGACTCTACCCTTTCTAGCTGTGTAACATTTTAGACATGTTATTGAAATTTCCTGATTTTCAGATGCCTCACAGGTAAAATAAAGTTGCTTACTATATTGGACACGGATATTTGTCATGTTTTCTGACTACCCAGCATATTTTGAAAACAATTTTACCATACTGGAAAATCCTCAGTCTTTAGAGTCCCGCTTCCACAAAGTAGAATGCAGAAAACTGAATTCTCAGCCTCTCTTACTGCTGGGCCTAGGAATATGACAGTGACTTTGACTTCTCCTGTGAGATTCACACATGTAAGAATTTGACAGGTAAGTAACGGAGTTTATGTGGACTGTTTTAAAATCTTGCATACAAGAAGAAGGCTCCAGTCAGAATCCATTTTTCTGGTACAGTGGACAACAATGCTGCCGTCTTGTGGTGGTAGCAACAACACTGTATGCAGTTTAGTTTCTCAGTGATTTCAAGGTCAAGTTCCAGGCACAGATGTGGCCCAGGCAGGGAGTTGAGAGTTGGCAACACCTTCCCTAGTGCTCTGTGGGACAGCAAGAGAAGCAGCAGTTTCCTCTCCGCGCCAACTTTGCCATGTGATTTTCAGAATTGTTCCTAGGAGCTTAACTTCAAGTCTAGCTCTCCAGGCCTCCAAATGCTTCTGTGAGCTAACCAATAGTCTTTTTTTCAAAACTCCCTTTTCTGCTTCATCGGCTAAAGAGAGTTTGCTTCAGTTAAGTAATATTAACAGTGATGAGGCCGGGCGTGGTGGCTCACAGCTGTAATCCCAGCACTTTGGGAGGCCGAGGCAGGTGGATCACAAGGTCAGGAGATCGAGACCATCCTGGCTAACACGGTGAAACCCCATCTCTACTAAAAATAGAAAAAATTAGCCAGGCGTGGTGGCAGGCGCCTGTAGTCCCAGCTACTCGGGAGGCTGAGGCAGGAGAATGACGTGAACCCGGGAGGCGGAGCTTGCAGTGAGCCGAGGTCACGCCACTGCACTCCAGCCTGGGCGACAGAGCCAGACTCCATCTCAAAAAAAAAAAAAAAAAAAAAAAAAAAAAAGTGATCACTATATATTTATCTCAGAGAGTGATGTTGCAATTAAACAAAATAAGATATTGTTATGCAAAAAAGGACCAATGGCCAGTCAGTACACATACCAGATCTGCTAGAGCAAAATTTACTGGGGAAAATTCATGAAGACAGGAGCAGTAACAAGCATGCAGTCCCCTGTTGCATTGTAAAGTGGAACACAGAGTGCTAGCATGGTCTAATGTCACATTCTGGGATAGGGCCCCTAATCCCCGGTGTGCGGACTTTTGCCTGTTTGGAAGCATTGTCTCCTACTCTCAGGCGATCAGGGACCAGGATACTATAACAAGATGACATTGCAAAACTTTGGCTCCAGCCCTAGTCTGTGAACTCAGCTTTCATATTTGCAGCAAACATGAGCCCTTCCCCTGGCATAATCAGGAGCCTAAGGGCAGGTCTTATGGTTGACCAGGATTCACTGCCTCGATGTTTGGCTGTGGCCAGTTTTCATACAGCTTTGTAGAAGGTCAATTCCTTTTCTTTTTTTGGAGGCCACAGGGGAATCATATTTGGGCAAGTTAATTCTTACCTCCTGGACTGGGTTGAATAGTGTTCCCCCAAAATTCATGTCTACCTGGAGTTTCAGAATGTGTCCTTATTTGAAAATAGGGTCAGGCCAGGCACGGTGGCTCATGCCTGTAATCCCAGCACTTTGGGAGGTCAGGGCAGGTGGATCATGAGGTCAGGAGTTCAAGACCAGCCTGGCCAATATGGTGAAACCCCCGTCTCTACTAAAACTACAAGAAAATTAGCTGGGCGTGGTGGCGCGCACCTGTAGTCCCAGCTGCTTGGGAGGCTGAGGCAGGAGAATTGCTTGAACCTGGGAGGCAGAGGGTGCAGTAAGCTGAGATCGTGCCACTGCACTCCAACCTGGGTGACAGAGTGAGACTCTGTCTCAAAAAAAAAAAAAAGAAAAAGAAAAAGAAAATAGGGTCTGTGCAGATGTAATCAACTTATGAATAGGTCACCTGTAGGAGACAGTTTCAACATGCTGACAGCTTACCACCTCAAATGTTGTGTGTCTCTTCTCTGCCTTAGGGTTTTTTCTGGGACTAACTGTGGGAGTCTGCTCCACCCAAGTCACTCAAAGCAACAACAATCAATATGAGTTTGAAGTAGATGGATAAATGCCCCAAGCTTTCTAGCCTCCCACAGGACAGTTTTAAAGCATTTGAGAGACTCTCTCTCTCTCTCTCTCTATATATATATATAGACAATGGCCAGACCATATATGAAAATAGAACTCTGACCTACAATCTGTAGCAAGCACCCTAGGAAATCATACCATATCTACAGAAAGCTAGGATATTATCTGTAAGTCAGATTTGTAGGAAGTCAGACCACTATCTCCAGAAATCAGTCCAGTAAGTCAAGCAATAATCCCTATAACAATTGGCCCAAAATGGCCAGGACTCGATTAATAACTGACAGCTTCCCTAATTTTTGTCCCAGCTTCCAAATTAGGACCAGCCAGAGAAAGCCAAATATGCACCCCAATCAATCACACAGAAAGCCCCAAATCTGTTTAGCCTACCTATAGCTTTCTTAAGCCAACAGCTTCAAATCAGGGCATACCTGAAACCTTCTCTTTTTACCACTATAAAGCTTTCCACTCCTATGCCTGCCTCTACCAAACACAAGTGATGAGTCTCTACCAAAACACAAGTGATGATGCCTGACTCTCTTGCTATATCAAGGTCTGAATATATGCTTTGTCTGTTCTCATTTGGTCTTCATTTATTTCCATATATGGCATACACACTTTCTCTGGGGATCCCAACAAAATTAAGCCCCAGTTGCCCACTACTGTACTTTGCTCATTCATGCACTTTTTATTGGCTTTCCCTGCTTCTCTATCTTGGTTTGGTTTCCTCAATTTGCCTGCCATGAGGAATTATCTCCTGAATATACCATCTGCACCTAAGCTCTTGTTTCAGGGTCTGTTTTTGAGGAAATACAATGAAAATAGACCATATTAATGGAAGCACAATTTTAAGAATATTATATATTAACCTTGAATATTTCCCATAAAAAGAGGCATTTAAAACTAAAATTCCAAAGTGACTGCATCAACCATTGTTTTCTTCTAGTCAAAATGTTAAAATACTGAATATTACTTTTTAAATGTTGGTATTATTCCAATGGCTTTCTATGCCATTAATGTATTTGGCATATGTTTTTTATTTTCTAAAAAATGTTGGCAAAATTCCCTAAAGGGAATAGTCATTTAAATTTTTTTTTTAATTTTTATTTATCCCACATGTTAGATATGAGTTCTAAATTTCTTTTCAAAGAATCAATATATCAGTATGTTCAGTTCTTTGCCTTCTACTTTTAAACTTAACTTCCACATAAAGCAACCTTTTTTGATTACCTGCTCCACCCTGACTCATTTCAATCACCTGCCCCACCTTGACTCATTCCGATTACCTGCTACCTGCTCTGCCCTAACTCATTCTCTACTCTGCATAACCGTTTTTCCCGCCAAACCATGCACCCCATCACTGTCTTTAAATTAGCCAGTTGGAATTAGTTTAGCCTGTGCGGCCTAACCCGAGCCAATAGGGGAATGACACAGCAGCAGGGGCCACATGCGTCAGGCATAAGAACCCCTTCCCTCCCTTGTCCAAGTGTGCGCTCACCATTGCTCCATCTGTAAGGGTGCACCCTTCTATAGAAGTACCTTGCCTTGCTGAGAATTAAAAGAAAATTTTATATTCAAGTGCTATTTCTTTTGCGGCACCGAAACTTTATTTATAACACACAGGTAAAGGTTTAATGTGTGACTGTACTAAAAATAGGACTGAAATTTGAGAATGCATTTAAAGGAGAAACAATAATATTCAATAATATTCTACTGGTTGGAATATAGCTTATAAGAAAAGCTAATTACATTTACAGAGTAGTTGAAAATCTTGGACTTAGAATATATGAATGATATTCATTTGAATAAATTAAGAGAATTGAAGCATCTTTCTTGCAAAGTGATCCAGTTACATTTAGTGAGGGAATATTCATGTTTAGGCTCAGTGTCTCTGGAAACCTAAAAAAACTAGAGCACATTTGCCCTGCAGGCTCTAACTTGGAAATTCAATTACGATTTATTGATAAAAAGACTGCACCAGTGAAAATATGTTATCCTAATTTAGGAATCAATAAGCATTTCTGTGATTTTTATGCACTACAAATTATATACTTTAATTTATGCCTATCTGATGTCCAAGTATGTTGGTAAATGAGATGCCTAAAACAACATGTGGAGTTAGAATATAATTATGTTAATGCTAAAAAAAGGTGGCATTTGTATTCTAACCATAACAGAGCTTATGTGGACTGTTTTAAAAACTTGAGCACTAGGCCCATTACAGTTTCATAGTGTCCCTTCTGTCTGTCATCTTTTACACCTGGCTGATCCTCCCACACACCATAAAGACAAAGTGAAAGCACCAAGAGAAGTTTTAGGCAATTACCTCCACAGATTTCCATTTCTCTCTCTCGAAACTCTCATCTCCGTCTGGCCTGCTCTGATTTTTGATGGCCTGCATGTGTAATAGAGTTCCAAGTGAGGCTGAATTTAGAACGCTGAGTGACAAGCTGGCAGCATGTACTGCTTTACGTACCTGTAGCCTATCCTCTTGGAGATTTTCTCTCTTTTGCTCTTAGTTGTGTAAGATGTTAGGCACCTGTTCTCTTGGGGGGAAGTCTCATAACCTGATGTTTGTCAAGATTTCTTGGTATGCAGAGCTTGCCTCTAGGGTAGGGTGTGGAAAATTTGCATACTAATGAAGGAGCCACTTGGAGAAAAAAATGAGTGAAGATCTGAACAACTAACTTCCCTTTTGAGGTTTAACGTCGTTAGAAAATTTCTGACAGATTGAGGTGGTTCTGCTCAAGATTTTTAATTGGAAAATGGCATCAAAGGTTTTGAAATAGAAGTCTCCCTCAGTGCTTTGGGCTTAAGACCCATCCAACTCACGAACCTAGCCATCTAGAATAAGCAGTTTTGGTTAAAGCACATGTGAGAAGTGAGAAGTTCCTAAGCTACTTCAATTCCTAAGAAACTAGCACATAGTCAGTTTTGGAGATCCAAGGCTAAACGTGTGTCTGTATAAACTTGAAACCAAACTATGGTATAACTGTACAGTGCTGAAGAGATCTGAACAAAGAAAGGATATCATTGCAGCAGTAATAAATAGGCGTTCCTTAGACTGCAAAACAAGTGCTTGGTAGAAAAACCAAGTACAATAACAGAAAACCTCTGATGCTAAAGGCCTTCATATAATTTTCAGTTCTCTTTCTTCACTTCTTTTTATGAATAGTTTTTTGTGGGGAGGCCACAGTAGGCAGACATTGACGTTTCTGCAAATACAAGAATGAGATTGCTAATAGATATAGACCAAACTGGTAAATAAAAGTTGTGGTTTCCAGATCTGCTCAGTTTTAGAGTTTCGGCAGACTCCCTGTATTCTTGTGTCTCTGAGTATAAGCTGCGTATATTGCAAAACTTAGATAAGAGTTCTGTTGATTCCGTGGGAGCATAAAAATTGAGCAGAAAAATAGAGTTAATTTATTTTTTAAAAATCCACATAACTCAAAGTATTAGAAAACAAAATGAATTAAAACATAGAAATCAGTATGTAGATTTACAATGTAGCCTGGTTTGGCCAGGGGCAGTGGCTCACGCCTGTAATCCCAGCAGTTTGGGAAGCCAAGGTGGGTGGATCACCTGAGGTCAGGAGTTCGGGACCAGCCTGACCAACACGGAGAAACCGCATCTCTACTAAAAATATAAAATTAGCCGGGCATGGTGGCGCATTCCTGTAATCCCAGCTACTCGGGAGGCAGAGACAGGAGAATCGCTTGCAACTGGCAGGTGGAGGTTGCGTTGATCCAAGATCACGCCATCGCACTCCAGCCTGGGCAACAAGAGCGAAACTGCGTCTCAAAAAAAAAAAAAAAAAAAAAAAAAAAAACCCAAAACACAACAATGTAGCCTGTTTTACAAGTCTCAAAGTATTTCGGTGGCCAGTAGGAAGTTGGCTAACTGGGAAAGATGCTGAGATACAAGATTGGCTGAATGGTAAGATAAGGCATTCTTAGTTTTGGAATGGGGAACTGGGAAGTAAGATGAGATCTAGACCCAAAAAAAAAATCAAATATAGCCAGAAACGTAAACTGATGTCTTAACTCTGTGCTTTTAAATCAGTTTCACACTTCTATTCCATATGTGCCTGGTACCCAGTTTAAAAAAAAAGAAAAAAAAAACCCTCTGGACAAAAATGTGTTGGAAAATAAAATGAAAGAAAGCATCCCATTTACAAAATCAGATTTCATAATTAAAATACTTAGGAGTAAAAACTGAGAATCTACTTGGAGAAAAAATTAGGGAATTTTTAAAACTTTAAATAAATGGAGATATGCTTTGATCTGGTATAGAAAGACCAATCTTATAAACATGAAAATTCTCCCAAAGTTTAATAAGTTGATTCAGTGTAATCCCTAACAAAATTCCAAAGAGTTGTCTTCTTTTATTTTTTGATTTGCAAAAATAATACTAGAGCTCACCTATAAAAATAAATGTGTGAATAAAGACAGAAAATTTCTTAAAAAGAAAATTAATATGGGGAAAATATTTCTATCAGGTATTAATATGTGTAGAGCTTTAATATTAATGAATGTTATTAATAGCCAAAGAACAGGCAGATTTGTGAAACTAAAGCATTCAGAAGTAAGCCCAAAAACAAATAGGAATTCAGTGCATTAATAAATATATCTCCTTAAATTACTGAGAGAAAATCAGTTGTTCAACAGACCAATATTGAAAAACTGGGCATGAATCCCAGATATGTAAATATTTGATTGTAAAAATGAAATAATAAGAGAACTTAAAGAAAAAACAGAGAATTTTTTTTTTACAACCTTAGACTAGGAGGCTTTTAACAGGAAGACTGAAAATCCGAAGTCACTAAGGAATAGTTTACATTTGACTGCATAAAAACTAAGATCTCCTGTAAGACTAAGTGCCTGTAAGAAAAAGAGAATCTTACTACAAAGACAAAATACAACAAACCACCTGAAGAAAACATTATTTGCAACATATGACAATAAAATCTTAATTTCTTTAATATACAAATAAGACTTGCTAATCAATAAGAAAAAAGGCAATCAAATAGACAAAATAAATGGCATGGTCTATAGACCTGTAGATCAATTTAAAATACTTACTTCACTAAGAAATGAGGCAGGCACAGAAAAAGTCTCCTTCATGAGTCTTAATTCTAGTAGGAAGGCTAACAGTTAGCTGGTGAATACTTGTATAGCCATACTAGTTGCTTATGACTTGTGCTTACTCTTATTGGTCAATGCCCACACCCCTTTTAGTTGTTAAATATTTTAGGTATCGTCACTGCTGGCAGAGTGTAGGCAGACAATAAACCAATAAGAATGTATAGCAGAGTTTCTCAACCTCTGCAGTATTGACATTTAAGAATGGATAATTCTTTGTGTGAGAGGCTGTCCTGTGCATTGTAGGATGTTTAACAGCATCCCTGGTCTCTACCCACTAGATGCCCATGGTAGCAATCACCCTCCCCACTTGTGAAAACCAAACATATTTTTAGATATTGCCAAATACCTCTCTCCCCTGTTGACAACCACTGATATATGGATAACATTTCAGGTAGAGTGTTATGAAGAAGAATAAAGGTGGGTGAGAAGAGACAGAATGAGGGAGGCATAGGCAACTTTCAGTGGGATGGTAAGGTAAGAGCTCTCTGAAAAGTTGGCACCAAGCAGTGAGCTGAAGTGAGTGAGCCACGCTGCTACAGAGGGAAAAGAATTCCAGGCGGAGGGAACATCAAAAGCAAAGAACCTGAGACATGAACATGTCTGACATGCTTGATGAATAGTGAGAAAACCAGTATAGTTGGAGCAGAGGGAAAAGGAGTGGGATTGAAAGATAAGGTCAGAGAGGACGTCAGGAGCCAGTCTTTTAGGGTCTTGTAGAACACAGTAAGAACTATGAACATTACTTTGGATAAAATGGAAAACCATAGGAGGGTTTTGAGAGAAGATGGATGTGGTCTATCTTATTCCTCTATTTTAAAAAAGGAATAAAAATAGCTGAGAATCTTATTAAAAAATAATCAACCAGTTGCAATTAATTCGAAAGACTTTTAAAAATTGATATACCACCTTTCTCACTTAGGACATTAGCAAAGAATTGGAAGTTGAAATACCCAGTCATGGGGAAACTTTCGGGAAACAGGCACATTCCTCTGCATTAATGGATGTAAATTGGTACAATTTCTTTGAAGGACAAATTGTCAATATCTATCTCTCTCTCTATCTCTCTCTCTCTCTCTCTCTCTCTCTCTATCTATCTATCTATCATCTATCATCTATCTAGTTTTTTTGTTGTTATTGACAAGGTCTCACTCCGTCACCAATGCTGGAGTGCAGTAGTGTGATCACGGCTCACTGCAGCCTCAACTTCTCCGGGTTCAGGTGGTTCTCCTACCTCAGCCTCCCAAGTAGCTGGAACTATAGTCATGTGCCACCATGCCTGGCTAATTTTTGTATTTTTTGTAGAGAGAGGGTTTCACTATGTTGCCCAGGCTAGTCTCAAATTCCTGGCCTCAAACCATCCCCCTGACCTTGGCGACCAAAAGTGCTGGCATTAATGGCATCAGCCACCCCAGGCCCAGACAATTTTTTTTTCTTTGAAACAGGGTCTCACTCCAGCTCAGGCTGGAATGCAGTGGTGTGATCATGGCTCACTGCAGCTGCAACCTCCTGGGCTCAAGCAATCCTTCCACCTTAGCCTCCTGAGTAGCTGGGACCATAGGCATGCAACACCATACCTGGCTAATTTTTTATTTTCTGTAGAGACAGGGTCTCACTATGTTGCCTAGGCTGGTCTTGACCTCCTGGGTTTAAGAAATCCTCCCACCTAGGCCTCCCAAGTGTTGAGATTACAGGCATGAGCCACCACACCAGGCCTGTTAGAATTTAAAATTTTAAGTGTTAAAATGGACACAGTAGGCCAGCAGGGCGCAGAGGTTCATGCCTGTAATCCCAGCACTTTGGGAGGCCAAGGTAGGAGGATCATTTGAGCCCAGGAGGTGGAGGTTGCAGTGAGCCGAGATCCAGCCACTGCATTCCAGCCCAGGTGACAGAGCAGGACCCTGTCTTAAAAAAAAAAAAATTGATACAGTAATTACATTTAAAAGGAACTTATACAGATACACTCACACAAATGTGCAAAAAAAAAATATTTATTGCAACATTGTTTGAAAGCAAAAATTGCAATTAGCTCAGTGTTCACTAATATTGAACTGGTTGTAGAAATTACAGCAAATCTGTATAATAGAAATGGTTCAGTAATCAAGAACTTTAAGATAAATCTATATAGGCTGATATGGAATTCTCCAAAAAAAATATTGTTAAAGAAAATAAAGCTTGGTACAAAAGCAGCTAACAGCATGATTCCATTGTTATTTAAAAGAATTTAAAAGGCACATGCATGTTTGCTTTAAGGATATTCAATGTCTTTCTATCTGGTTTCAATTAACTGGTTTGTTCCCTATAATTTTCATTGACCATAATAAAAAATGACTAGTAATGAATGCTCCATTTTGTTTGGATTTTGATTCTCAGGACTATGCTTATTTTGTAGATTTTTACTGGGGAACTTTTCGTGGGTTTTTTTTTGTTTTGTTCTGTTTTTTGTTTTGTTTGTTTGTTGAGGTATTACCTGACTTACATTTACACTTTAATATAACTTCATCATAAATATAATAATTTTTAAAGTAAAAATTCCATATTTCCATGTGGATAGAAAATTCCTGGGAGGATATGTAAGAAACTAGTAACAATGATTTGGAGAGTGGAAGTAGAAGTGAGACGGGGGTGGGGGACTTCACATTTCATTTCATAGCTCTATGTACTTGTTTAATTTTTTATCATGTGCATATTTTCTATAAAATTAATAATTTAAATTAAAACGAGAGAATCTTCCTGAATACCAGTGCCATCATATAAGTGATCCCTACACTAGTGGCCCTGAACTTTTGTCCCCAGGCCTGTCTCCTATTCCTGGCCTAGGATTATCTCTTGAAAAGGATAACAAATTTGGTTTTCTTGGTTTTTATTTTCAGTTCTCTGAGACTCCACTTGCTTTCACTCTGGCTCCTGTTCCTCCTACTTCAGGTAACCATTGCATAATCTAACCCGTAGTCCATCTGTCTGCTTAACTAGCACCCAAACCTGGCCTTCCATAAAAGGGAGTAAGATAAAACTTTCATAAAACTGCCCAATACAGGCAACACTGTCATGCAGGAAATGCTACTGTAATATTTTATGGAAATAGACTTCATTAAGATGCTCAATAACTGCATTACATCCAATTTAGAATTGGTGGTAGTTGTCACGTTTTTGTTTTTGTTTTTGTGTTTGTTTTTGTTTTTGTTTTTGAGACAGGGTCTCTTTCTCTCACCCAGGCTGGAGTACAGTAGTACAAACATAGCTAATTGTAGCCTTGACGTCCTGGGCTCAAGTGATCCTCCTGCCTCAGCCTCCTGTGTAGCTGGGATTACAGGTGCATGCCACCATGTCTGGCTAATTTTTTAAATTTTTTTGTAGAGACAGGGTCTCACTTTGTTGCCCAGGCTGGTCTTGAACTCCTGAGCTCAAGAGATCCTCCCACCTCAGCCCTAAAGTGCTAGGATTACAGGTGTTAGCCACTGTGCCAGGCCATGTTTTTGTTGTGGAATGGTAATATTATTATGGATTTTATATGCTTTAAGGCTGTGTGAGCAGATGCACGCTTAGTTCAGATTTACGCCATATAACATGCATTATTGCAAAATAGTAGCTGAAGTTGGTAATTTTTTTCTTACTGGTCTTCAATGGGCCCATTTTTGGTGCAACCCTGGTCAGAGAATATATGGGAATGTTGTTTCGCATAGACTTGGGGTCATATGTAGTTTGCAAGGGAGAGTTTCTTATTTGTCTCTTACCCACCCCTCATTCCCGTGGTTGGTTTTCTTTCACCATTTTTATACACTACTTTCCTGACCATTACTTCCACCTCCTAAGTCTAGCGTGAGTACTTTTCATCTCTGCTACTGTGATAGGTTACCCTGAGTTGTTAACATGTAGCCAATAATAAATGATGACATTCCCGACATTTTCACAAGGAATAAAACAATGTATATAGGTGTACATGTCAATTTTTGATGTCCAAACTCATTTCATGCTTTTTCTAACCTTTATTTTTTGCCATTATTTCTAACATCTATTTCTGGGCAAAGTTTTCTAGATGAAAACTTCCTGATTTGTTGACATTTTCTGGTTGAATAACTGCCAGATTCTCATTTGGCCTTTATGCTTCATTCAGCTCCAAGTGGATAAACACTAACAAGGAAAGAAAACAGATATTCAGAACCAGCCTAACTAACATACGGGTTTTTTTTTTCCTACTCTGCCAATGTCACTAGTATTATTGCAGCTTCAATTAATAAATGTGGATTGTTGCAGCCAAAACACAATTATTATTTTTCCAGCAATTGTATTAAAACAGTATTAAAATGATTATTCAGGTACCCAACTCTTTAAGGACAGATGGGATTCTATATAACTGTCTGAAAAGCTAATTTGGCAAAATGATATTTGTTATTTTAATTACAGAATTGGAGAGGTATTACCATGGAAAACAAATTCTCCATTTGGCTGAGTCCAGAGCTTTCAAGAAGGAAAAGATTGCTATGGTGATCATTATTGTGGTTTGCTGGCTATCGTCAGATAATAGCATTCCAGATGAGCAAGGCACCTAGTGATCAGCAATTTTTGCCTTCGGTTTTTGAACATTTGGGCAGACCTTAGCAATGCCTTCTCTACTCCATGATCTGCTCTTTCATTATTTCTTTCTATTGCAGAATCCTGTTTTGCCTGAGTATGTCCAGGTTCTTCACAGAATTCTCCTACCTTTTATACTTTTTAAATGTTAAAAATTAAAAATATTAAAAAATAATAAATAAAATAAAATATGTTAATGGACCTGAACAGATAGGTGACTAATACATGTTGTATTCCTCCAGCAAATATCTTAACTTCAGATAATGTGTTAGCTCCCTATTTTGTCAATTTTGTAAGTGTGAAGTTTCATTTATTAAGTAATGAATGATATCTACTATGAGTAACATTTCATATATAATAAACCTCACTATTAATATAGAAAGTATGGATTATTAGCAACAGTATATTAATTAATACTCAATTAGCCTGGAGTCTCTCTGAGCCTACTCTGGCTCAGGATGCTGCCTGATAAAAAAAAAAAAAAGAAAGAAAAAACTTCAGCTAGAAGGACTGCAAATATTTTTTAATGTGAAGACCTGTTTTCATCTGAGATGTAAAAGGAAAAGACTGAAATTTTACTGGTTAGTATAATGATCATTGGAAAGTGACAATAATGCTTTCAAAATTATGATTAGATGAGAAATCAAAATGTTTTTAATGTTTTTAAAATAAGGGTTTTTTTTAGACGGGCTCTCACTCTGTTGCCCAAGCTGAAGTGCAGTGGCATGATCATGGCTCACTGCAACCTCAACTTTCCGGGCTCAGGTGATCATCCTACCTCAGCCTCCCTAGTAGCTGGGGCTACAGGTATGTGCCATCACACCGGGCTAATTTTTGTGGGTTTTTTTGTTTTGTTTTGTTTTGTTTTTGAGACGGAGTCTCTCACTGTCACTCGGGCTGGAGTGCAATGGTGCGATCTCGGCTCACTACAACCTCTGCCTCCCAGGTTCAAGCAATTCTCCTTGCCTCAGCCTCCCAAGTAGCTGGGTTTACAGGCGTCCACCACCACGCCCAGCTAATTTTTTTGTATTTTTAGTAGAGACGGGGTTTCACTATGTTGGCCAGGCTGGTCTCGAACTCCTGACCTTGTGATCTGTCTGCCTCAGCCTCCCAAAGTGCTGGGATTACAGGTGTGAGCCACTGCACCCAGCCAATTTTTGTATTTTTTTTTTTAGATGGGGTTTTACCATGTTGGTTAGCCTGGTCTTGAACTCCTGGATTGAAGCAATCCTCCCACCTCACCCTCCCAAAGTGCTAGGATTACAGGTATGAGCCATCACACCTGGCCTAAAAATAAGTTCTTGAAGTTAAGCTACAATATGCAATTTGGATGGGAAGTTTCTTGAAATCTAATTTTTTTTTTTTTTTTTGAGACGGAGTCTGGCTCTGTCGCCCAGGCTGGAGTGCAGTGGCGCGATCTCGGCTCACCGCAAGCTCCACCTCCCAGGTTCACGCCATTCTCTGCCTCAGCCTCCTGAGTAGCTGGGACTAGGCGCCTGCCACCACACCCAGCTAATTTTTTGTATTTTTAGTAGAGACGGGGTTTCTCCGTGTTAGCCAGGACGGTCTTGATCTCCTGACCTCGTGATACACCCGCCTCGGCCTCCCAAAGTGCTGGGATTACAGGCGTGAGCCACCGCGCCCAGCCTTGAAATCTAATTTTAATTAATGTTTTGTCATCACTATATTTTGTGATCAAATGAAATAATTGATGTGGCCGGGCATAGTTACACACACGTGTAATCCCAGCTACAGTGAGGCTGAGTGAGCTATGATTGTGCCACTGAACTCCAGCCTGGGCAACAGAGCCAGACCTTGTCTCTAAAAATAATAATAATAATAATTGATTACTACTAATAAATATGTAACTGACAGTTTTTTGCTTCTTTAATAACTATATCATATTATCAGCTCTCACAAAGAACAATTACTTTCATTACATTGTTTTCTTTTCAAATGTCTTTATAAAACGGGTTCTCTAAAGCTATAAATGAATAAATAATTTTAAGCCAGGTCTTCTTTCTTAACTCAGGTATGTTCTTTTTAGAACTTCCTTTGAAGGGATGACAGGCCAAAAGATGGAAATGGGAAGCAATAGAGGGAAATCAAAATTTCACTGCTGCTATTTAACATTATTGTGAAGTCAATTCACCAACTTCAAAAGAACAGTGATAGGAACTGGCAAAAAAAAAAGAGATCAGACAGAATAAGTAAACAGAGGTTTGAATGAAAGACTGAGAAACTTGGATTTAATTCTACAAGTAAAAGGAAGTCAGTGAGAGTTTCTGACCAGAGAACTGACAAAATAAAAAAATTATTTTTGCAAAGATTAATCTGCAACTCTGTCATGAATAAACAGGAGTCAAGAGATGGAAAACAAAATTAATATAGGAATCTGATTATAGTTATTCTAGCCAGAGGTCCTGAACACCTGGAGTAAAGTGGTTATTATGCAGAAGGCAGATAGTATTTAAGGAATGTTATAAAGAAGGAATGGGCAAAGCTTTTGGACTGATTGATATGGGTAACAAATGATAGGGACAGATAAAAAGGACTCCCTGATTCTGGGCTTATTAGGGTAGCAAAGTCAACAAATATTTTTTATGTAAGGACATCTTTTTGAGAAATTCATAGCCACCTACAAGATCATAGTCGTAATTTAAAAATCCAATGATGGAGAAAAATATTTAACAAATAATTGCTATTAACTCAATAATGCTTTTAGATGAATATATATTTATAAATAACATCCGCTATATGTCTGTTCACACTGTGCACTGTTTGACTCTTCTGCATATTGACACTGATATAAATGTCAATTATAGCACAACCTAGAGTTGTGCAGTATACAACCTACCCTACTGTACACAGTAGTCATGGACTGTAGCATCTATATATCTCTGAAAACAGTTGAGCAAAACTTATGGAAACCCCACTTATTCAGTCCTCAGATATTATCTAGTTCAAGATGACTTCAGGGATGTTTTCTAAAGACTCTATAATTCACAAGGGACAGTCATCTATATATCAGATAACAATAAGAGGAGGAAAAACAAGAGGACTATATTGCTGTGAACAGTGATGGGAAAGTTCATAGAAAGAAGAGTTCTTCTTCCTTACAAAATCCCTGAGCCTCTCTGCTTTCTAAGATAAAGTAGGGGCTAAGAATGATCTACTCTACTATATTAGTTTCCTAGGGTTGCTGTAACATTACCACAAACCTTGTGGCTTAAAACAACATAAATTTATTTTCTTACAGTTTTGGAGGCTAGAATTCCAAAACCAAGGTGTCAACAGGCCATGTCTTTTCTGGAGGTTCTAGGGAAGAACCCTTGCTTGCCTCTCCCAGCTTCTGGTGACTTTCAGCAATCCATGGCATTCTTTGGCTTGTAGCTGCATCACTCCAATCTCTGCCTTCCTCTTTACATAGGTTTCTTCTCTGTGTCTTTATGCATATTCACCTTTTCTTATAAAATCACCTATCATTGGATTTAAGACCCATCCTAATCCAGTATGATCTGGTCTTGGGATCCTTCACTAATTACATCTGCAAAGACCCTTTCAAATAAGGTTACATTTTGAGGTTCTGGGTGAACACAAATGTGGGGGGAACATTATCTAATCTACTACATATATCTATGTGAAAAACCTAAATATTTTGCAGGCCATGCTCTCAAGTCTTTTAAAGAAAATGCTACCTCTTACAGTTGCTGAGTTTTACAAAGGTAAAGATGCAATATGTTCAGATTCTAAAGCTCAAATAAAAAAATAACAGCCTCAAGACCACAATGGGTGTGGGTTACAGCAAAAATGCTTTGGTTGAACAAAGCAGCACAGGGCATCAAAGAAAAGTCAATGTCTCCAAGCTCCTGCTTTAACCTCTTGAGAACATAGCCTTCCCTTGAGTAATGACTTTCACATTCATTGTTTTGATGTACTTTTTCCTACTTGTGATAAAGTCCTGCTTTTATTTCATTATGAAAGAAGAAAATGAAGGAAAGAAGATAGGATACAATTCCATGGGCATGTTATCTGACTCTTTTCATAAAACAAAAACCTTTTATTTTGTTGTTAATTGATGTTTAAATTGTACAGTTAGTTATTATCTTGATTTTTCCTTTCTTAATCTAGTTTTGTATATTCATTCATTGAAGCATAATTGGAATATTTTATCTAAAACATTATGATTGTTTATTAATATAGAATAGAATAGGTGAGACTTTTAAAATATTAGTTTATAATTCTTTTTGAAGTTTGTATAGAATGGTGAATTTTTAAAAATTCATCACGATGTTTTTTCCTAACATGAATTATTTATCGTTTGCATAAAAAAGAGGTAATTTTATAAAACTATCTTTCTTATTATTCTTTGTTGCTTTCACATTTTCACATAGCAAATTAAAGGAAAAATTACATTATTGCAGGAATTCAGTAACCTTTTCCTAAATAAGTTTAAATTTGTTCTGCTATCTATATTAAATAATAACAGAGGAGATACGTTTCACCAGAATACTAGGGGCTGTTGGCAAAGAGATGGGAGAAACTGTGCCCCTGCTATTAAAGGACTGAACAAACTAGTGGTAAAGAAATAATTATAGGCTGGGTACAGTGGCTCACGCCTGTAATCTCAGCACTTTGGGAGGCCAAGGTGGGAGGATTACTTGAGGCCAGGTGTTTGAGACCAGCCTGGGCAACATAGCAACACCTGTCTCTACAAAAAATTTTTAGGAAAATTAGCCAAGGCCAGGTGCAGTGGCTCATGCCTGTAATCCCAGCACTTTGGGAGGCCAAGGCGGGTGTATCACCTGAGGTCGGGAGTTTGAGACCAGCCTGACCAACATGGAGAAACCCCATCTCTACTAAAAATACAAAATTAGCCGGGCATGGTGGCACATGCCTGTAATCCCAGCTACTTGGGAGGCTGATGCAGGCAAATCGCTTGAACCTGGGAGGCAGAGGTTGCGGTGAGCTGAGATCTTGCCATTGCACTCCAACCTGGGCAACAAGAGCGAAACTTGGTCTCAAAAAAAAAAACTAAAAACAACAACAACAACAAATTAGCCAGGCATGGTGGCACATGCCTGTAATCCCAGCTACCTAGGAGGCTGAGGCAGGAGAATCGCTTGAACCTCGGAGGTGGAGGTTGCAGTGAGCCAAGATCATGCCGTTGCACTCTAGCCTGGGAGACAAGAGCGAAACTCAGTCTAAAAAAAAAGAAAAAGAAAAATTAGCCAAGTGGAATGGCACATGCTTGTAGTCCCAGCCACTTGGGAGGCTGAAGCAAGAGAATCCCTTGAGCTCAGGAGTTTGAGGCTGCAGTGAGTTATGATTGTGCCACTGCACTCTGGCCTGGCCAACAGAGTGAAACCCTGTCTCTAAAAAAAAAGAGAAAAAATTACAATATATCAGTAATGTGATACAGTGGTGATATTTATATATTGCTATGACATTATAGAATACAAGTTGGTAGGAGAAAGCTTCACTGGAAGGTGACATTTGAGCTAAATTTGAAAGGATAAGACTTCGCCAAGAGGAGAGTAAGTTGAATAAGGATATTCTAGGCAAAATAAACAGCTGTGCTAATTCATGGAGTAGGTAGTGTTCAGAAAATGGTAAGAAACTTATGTGTATAGAGAATAGGGTTTGGGCCAGGCGTGGTGGCTCATGCCTGTAATTCTAGCACTTTGGGAGGCTGGGGTGGGCGGATCACTTGAGGCTGAAGTTCAAGATCAGCCTGGCCAACATGGTGAAACCTCATCTCTACTAAAAATTTAAAAATTAGCCTGGTTTGGTGGCGCACACCTATAGTTGCAGCTACTCGGGAGGCTGAGACACAAGAATCACTTGAACCCGGGAGGCAGAGGTTGCAGTGAGCCGATGCACTCCGGGCTGGGTAATAGAGGGAGACTCAGTCACAAAAGAAAAAAAAAAAAGAAGAGAGTTTGTGAGCAGATGGAAAATACTAGGAAATGAGAATAAGATAATAAAGCAGATCGGGATGAAGTTATGATGTACTTTATCCATGTAGGAGAGATAATATTTTACAAATATTAAATTAATGCATTGTAATGTCTCTGTAAAAGCATGCTCCTTTGTATTCTTCTCATTTCAAAGTCAACTCATGAGATTTATCGTACCAATGAAGAGGAAATACTGTAAAGTGGCTTTTGATTTGCTTTGAGTCTCAAAGCAGACTTTTTTTGACCTTCACGAGAGGATAGTAATTGTGAGAGCAAGGTTTTGTAAGGTTTTGTAAGAGACAGAAAAGGATTTACTAAATTTCTTGGTTTCTCCCCTTAATATTTCAAAAGCCAGTCTGTATAGTTTGTATGAGGGAGATCTGATCCAGACAGAAAGGCTAAGTTGGGAGAGCTGCCCCTTTGCATCTTCGTGGATTACAGCAGAAAGTAAAGAAACAGGCAGAGTGAGGAAGGCAGGCATCGGTAATGTCTCCCTCTCCTTCCAGTTCATGCTTTCAGGCAGCAGAGGGATTGGAGGTAAAGGGTGGGGCATAAGAGGGAAGAGCACTTAGAAAAAGTAAAACAAGGCTGGGTGCAGTAGCTCTTGCCTGTAATCCCAGCACTTTGCCAAGGCAGGCAGATCACCTGAGGTCAGGAGTTCAAGAACAGCCTGGCCAACATGGCAAAACCCCTTCTCTACTGAAAATACAAAAATTAGCTCAGCATGGTGGCCCATGTCTGTAATCTCAGCTACTCTGGAGGTTGAGGCGGGGAATCGCTTGAGCCCAGAAGGCAGAGGTTGCAGTGAGCCACGATGGCGACACTGCACTCCAGCCTGGGTGACAGAGCAAGACTCCGTCTCACATAAAAAAAAAAGAGGGGACTGGAGACTGTGGGTTTGCGTTGTTGTCGTGGGCAATGGGGTACAGTGACCTTTAATGCCATGGAAGGCTTGGTAGAAAATGAATTTGAGACAGAGAGGAATCAAGAGTTTTGCCTTGTCTGTGTTAAGTTTGAGATGCTAATTAATCCAGGAGGAGATATCAAGTTAGGAGAAAGATATACAAGTCTAGAGAAGAAGAATTTAGAATTGGAGATGGGAGATCAGTCTACAGGTCATCTGCAGCATATAAATGGCATTTAAAGCCAAGCATTACCTAGGATGAGGTCAATTACACAGGGAGTGAGGAACTTCTTTCCTCACTACCAAAGGCTGTGTGAAGTGCACAGCCTTCTCCTCCCACCTTAGAGACTCTTGGAGAGGAACAGTGGAGAAAGAAGAAATCTGAGAGACTAAGCATGCTACCTTAAGTGACTATGCATTAATCCAAAGGGATATTTAAAATTGTTTTACTAGATTATGTCCACAGATTTAGAATAAAATTTTTTACCCACCACACAGTAAGTGAAGGCTTATGGGAAATATAGGATCAGCCCTAGAGAAAATAAAGAAATTCCATTTTCTTTGCTCCCCTGAATATAATGTGAATAAATCTAAGATCTTTTATCACATATAATTTTAAATGCAACAATTCTTACTATTAACAAATATCTGCTCCTATTACTCCCCTGAAATGAAATTCATGGATAATAAAACGAACCTATGCATAGTTTCAAAAACAATCAATATAATATTTAACATCATATCTGTATAAGAGAAAAGAGAGGAAAGTAATTTGTAATAAAATAGTATTTATTTCAGTATGTCAATGCTCAGGCACAGCTATACTAGAAAACATGAAGCAGTCAGATGCTTGCATCTATTTATAGTTACATATCATAAATGTGACAGCCACAATGCAGGTACATTTTTGGCAACTCAAATATCCCAAGCAGCATCTACCGCCAGTGGTAAGATTCTCCAAAATGGTGAACAAATTTTGTAAAACTCTGAACAAAGAAAAGTAAATGCTTCCCTCAATTTACACAATACTTCCATTTCTAGAAAATTCTTGTTTATATGCTGAAACAGATTTTCACCTACATTAATTGCTAGGGAGACACTTGAAAGTTGTGCAGGATGTGGACAATATTTTGTTGAGAAAGACTCTTTGTTCACACACTGCAGGATCTAACTTTCCCAGCCCCTGCCCAATAAAAGCCAGTAGTACTTCTAATCTCTGAGACAACCAAGAATGTCCCTACACATTAGCAAATATCCCTAGGGAACAGTATCGTTCCCACTGAGGACTACTCTTTAAGTGATGTAAGACTATGTTTTAGTTAATACAGAATCAATGAAAATATGATAAGCAGAAATGTGTCCACACACAAATGTTTTGGAAGATATTACCAATGGCATCATATAGATTGAAATGCGTGGAAATTAATGGCCAACAGTTACATTCAGTGGCTGTTTCAGTGCTTCAGATAATAGATGATAAAAGCTAGATTAAGATCATGGTATTATAAAGGGAGAGAAGAATACAAATCTAGAGACAGTCTAAAGCAAAATGTAAAATATTTAAAGGTCAATTAGACATAGATTCAGGAAGACTTCGAATGTAGTATGGCTCTGAGCTTTCTAACTTAGAAGACCAAAAAATTATAATGCTATTAATAGTGTTAATAAATACAGGAAAAAAACAGATTTGAAGGACATGGGGGTAGAAGACAAGTTAAATTCAATTTCATGCACGTATAGCTTGAAGGAACTGCAGGGTGATTTTGCTTCCACCTAATTTACTATCATTAATTCATTCAACAAGTATGCATTATCGACTGTCTGCCTGGTATTGGGTCTGTGGCAGTAAGACAGTCATGTTCCCTGTCCTCAAGGAACATAGCATTTAATGAGAAAGACTTACCAATAATTATATATATAATTCTCTAGTTATAATTGTTGTTAGTGAAGTTGTGATAAGTGCAATAGTTTGACATCCAGAGAAAGGCTGATCTATATTTGGGCAGTAAAGAGATGATCCTTGAGTGGAAGGCACCAGCAAATTTTATGCTCCCCAGTTTCTCAATCATATTTCTTTATGTCCCTCTGCATTGGTAGGATATGACACTGGTTGAAAAAAGTATTGAAATGACCTATTGTCCAATTTCCTCACCCATTGTCTTGTGATCTTTGAGCAAGGCTTGAAAACTTTATGATCCATCATGGCTTTCATGGGAGAACAGAGCTGTTACATCTTCCATAGATAAAAAATGCCCACAGCTGAACTCATTGGGAAAAAAATAAAACAAATCTTTTTCCCTGTTTAAATTCAGACTCTTTATTACCAAACACTCCTAACTCTTAGCAGGGCCATAAGAGTAACTGTTCTTTTAAAAGTCTTATGTACTGCCGGGCTTGGTGGTTCATGCCTATAATGCCAACACTTTGGGAGGCCAAGGCAGAGGGATCACTTGAGGCCAGTAGTTTGAGACCAGCCTAGGCAACATAGTAAGACCCTGTCTCTACAAAAAATAGGAAAAATTTGCTGGGTGTGGTGGTGCACGCCTGTGGTCCCAGCTACTCGGGAGGCTGAGATGGAAGGATCACCTGAGCCCAGAAGGTGGAGGCTGCGGTGTGCTGTGATTGCACCACTGCACTCCAGCCTAGGTGACAGAGCAAGACCTCACTTCAAAAAAAAAAAAAAAACAAAAAACCTCTCATGTTGGTTCTTTCAAAAATTGTATGAGACCAACAATCTTTCTAAGGCTAGGAAAGCGAACACCCAATCTAACAAAATTGCAGATCAGTTCCAGCAAAATTAGCAGGTCCTCAGCCCAAATCCTGAGGGTCCACACCAGTACACAGGAAGACTGAGATTACCCAATGCTCCTCATACCCCAATGGAGACTGTATCCCAAGGGAATCTTTCCCTCCTCAGTCGTACCTCGTGAAGAAAAGCTGGTGGAGCAATTTTTTGAATAAGATAAAGTCTTAAAAAATATCAGAACAAAAGGGAGGGCATTACTAAAGTGAACTTTGGTGAGTTATAAAAATCTATGGATAAATTAAGTTTCTTCTTCCTATAACATGGCCAAATGATGTTCACAACATGCATCTTCAAATCACTCAATATTGGCCAGGAGTCATAGCATCAACTCAGGACAAATGGGAAATATTTTCCATGTTTTGCAATTTTCACTGGAAAACCATATTTCAAATATACTTTTAATAAATAAATCACTACTCTTTTCTAACTCACAGTTTGAAAAACCAAAATTTGTGTGAACTTCTGCATTTTGCCCCTAGACGCAAATCCTAGTTAACACACACACTCATACACTCTACTTTTATTTAATAGAAAAAATCTAAAATATTATAATCCGGCTGGGCGTGGTGGCTCACGCCTGTAATCCCAGCAGTTTGGGAGGCTGAGGCGGGTGGATCACCTGAGGTCAGGAGTTCGAGACCAGCCTGACCAACATGGTGAAACCCTTTCTCTACTAAAAATACAAAAATTAGCCGGGTGTGATGGTGTGCGCCTGTAATCCCAGCTACTCAGGAGGTTGTGGCAGGAGAATCACTTGAACCTGGAAGGCGGAGTTGCAGTGAGCGAAGATCTCACCAGTGCACGCCAGCCTGGGTGACAGAGCAAGACTTCCTCTCAAAAAAAAGAGGCCGGGTGTGGTGGCTCACACCTGTAACCCCAGCACTATGGGAGGCTGAGGCGGGTGGATCACCTGAGGTCAGGAGTTCGAGACCAGCCTGGCTAACATGGTAAAACCCCGTTTCTACTAAAAATACAATAATAATAATAATAATAATTAGCCGGGCATGGTGGCATGTGCCTGTAATCCCAGCTACTCGAGAGGCTGAGGCAGGAGAATCGCTTGAACCCAAGAGGCGGAGGTTGCAGTGAGCCGAGATCACGCGACTGCACTCCAGCCTGGGCGACAGAACAAGACTCCGTCTCAAAAAAAAAAAAAAAAATTATAATCCAGGCTACAGTGGAAATAAAAATTTAACATCTATCTTCACTTAAAAAATATCTCAGGACCAAAAGACCACGAATTCATAAAGCTCTCAATCATCCTGCAAACACATGGTAGTTCTGTTAAGAAAACCTAGGTGATTAGACATTTTTGGAAACTTAATTAAAGAGGGGTGCTCCTAAAGATGAAGACAGTTTTGCATCTGTGACATGCTGTTTTCCTATCATCCTTGATAATTTGAAAACTACAGACATGTGCATCTCTTTGTAGCGTAGACAGGGTCTATGGAACATCTACAGAAGAGTAATTAATTTGTGTGAATGTCTAATTCGGAAGTTGTGGGAAATTATGTATTAAAATATTCTGAGTATTTTTAAGAAGTTGTATAATATATACATGATTAAATAGATAGTTTAAGTCACCAATTATTCTCTTTAAATGACAGTTCTAATGCAGATAGAATTGGTTGCATTTCTGATGATAGGTGTGTTTTTAAAAAATTGTTTATGTTAACTAAAAATGATAATTGTGGAAAATATTGAGCCACCTTGATAAATGGGGCCAGAAAAGAAATGATGATGAATAGATTCAAATCCTAGGGCATAAATTCAAATCAAATGTATTTCGATAATGAGGTCTCACTTAGCTATAATCTATTTGGGAGCCTCTATTCAAATTCTCAGATATGGGAACTTGGAAAACACAAGCTGATGTAATATTCTGAAAAATCCTCCAGGGAAAAGAACATCTACATAACAAGTGTATCAAATGAATTTTGTTCAAGAATTTAAACGAAAATGTTAAAGCTAAAAGAGCAATACTGGATTATGAAAGTAAAATTATTTTGCATTATCATTTTAAATCATTCTCTCTGTTTGGGAACTGTAGTAGTTCCTTTCAAGAATATATTCCTTATCTGAAATGAAACTTTTGTCTGCCTTGGGTAAAAACAGTATCATTTTCATGACAGCATTTAGCTTAATAAGAGTAATAAAACAAAAGACTCCCATAAATGCATAGTAGTATATAAATAGCTCCTACTTTGGCCACACCCACCTAAAAATAAGGAAAGATTAATGTTTATAATAAATCCCACTGGATTTGAGAATATTTTTGAATTTGAATATGAAAGTTCCTATGAGAAACATTTGCATTTTGCCACTGCAATAAAATAAAGCAAATTGTAATTAAGATAGAATTTAATTAAAACACTTTACTAAATTGTAATTCTTGAATGCCTACCAAACCATTGTGATAATATTCTCAATGACTAGTTAAGATAGAAAAAAGCTTTTTAATTTTAAGTAGTTTTCTAAAAGTATAAGGAATCCTCACACTAATCTTAGTTTACAGTTCAAAATGTTAATATATGGTAATTAGGCTACCTTCTAAATTACTATTAGAAAGTAATCATTGTGATATTTTTTCTTTTCTTTTTTTTTTTTTTTTTTTTTTTTGAGACAGAGTCTCGCTCTGTCACCCAGGCTGGATTGCAATGGCGCGATCTCAGCTCATTGCAAGCTCTGCCTCCCGGGTTCATGCCACTCTCTTGCCTCAGCCTCCCAAGTAGCTGGGACTACAGGCACCCGCCACCACACCAGGCTAATTTTTTTTTTTGTATTTTTAGTAGAGATGGGATTTCACCATGGGCTCGATCTCCTGAATCCACCTGCCTTGGCCTCCTGAAGTGCTGGGATTACAGGTGTGAGCCACTGCGCCCGGCCTTTGTTTCTATATTTTAATGTATTCAATAAAAATTTAGTTATATGAATTTAGCAAGATGTAAATACTTGTGATTATTTATGGAGTCAAAATTGTTATACGTTATTCAGTAGGTATATACTATCTTCTTATGTTGGTACAAATAGGAATCTCATAGAATACTTATAAAATTTAGAATCCTTGATAGACCAGGAAGGACAATTATAAGTTACCTACTCTGAAATCTACATTAAAAATTTGTTTCTGAATTATAAAATCAAACATGCTCAAAGCAAAAGTTTAAAAAAGTGTATGTTTGATATTCATTTATACTTCTGCAACTGTCTTCATTCACTTCTATTCTTCTACTGGTTTCGGTGCCTTTTTACTATTGATTTTAAGAGCTCTTTGTTTATTATGGATACTGGTCCTTTGTTTAGCAGATGTTTGGCAATTTTTTTTCTAGTTTGTGGTTTACTGATTATTGTTTACTATGTTTGAGATTATTTTTCGTACAAATCTTTATGTAGTAACTTTAGAATTATTCATTTAGTAGCTTCTAATTTTCATGATATTCTTTTAAAAGTCTACCTTATTCAGCCACATTTTCTTCTTATACATTTATAATTTTGTTTAATAAAACTTAAGCTTTTGATCCAGCTATTTGGATTATGTTGTTAAGAATAAGGTAGATAGCCCTAATTTTCCAAGTGTCTAGCCACTTATTTCAATATCATTTATAATCACTTTTTTCCTCTCACTTGGAGTGATAATATCTTCTGCAGTAGACAGAAGATATATATCACAGATGCCCACATCCTAATCTCCAAAAACCTGTAAATATGTTAGGTCACATCGCAAAGGAAAATTAAGGTTGCTAATCAGATGAACCTGTGATGTGGCACGTACCCTGGATTATCCAAGTGGGCCCAATGTAATCACAAGAGTGCTTGAAAGTGGAAGAGGGAGGCAAATGGGTCAGAGCCAGAGAAAGAGTTGAAGATGCTATGGTGCTGGTTTTGAATATGGGGGCAAGGGTCATGAGAGAAGCAAAGAAGGCAGTCTCTAGAAGCTGGAAAAGGCAAGGAAACAGATTCTCCCCAGAGCCTCCTGAAGTCATGCAGTACTGCCAACACCTTGATTTCAACCCAAAGAGACCCACTTTGGACTTCTAATTTCCAGAACTGTAAGATAATAAATTTGTATTGTTTTAAGCCAGTAAGTCTGTGGCAGTTTGTTACGGCAATATATAGCAGATGCACCTGTCAACAATAGCTTAACTTAAGCTTACCCTGAGAATGACCTTACAATCTAAGAAGAGGGTGTGTTCCAAGTTTCAAGCTAAGGAATCCAGGAGTGGCCAACCTGAAAATTTATTCCTTATTCTATGAAGAACATCTGAACCCCCAGTCCATTCCATGGAGCACAGGCCATACTGAGGATCAAGGCCCTTTGTTTTGGGTTAAAGGAAGGTTTCCTAGTGGAGGTTGCTAGGGGGAGGGTGCTAAGTGAAAGTGCAATATAAACTGCATGCTTTTTACAATTGGTTGCAATTCTCCCATCCAGCCCACCACCACTGCACTTCCCTGTATGTAAGTCCTCTCAGTAAGCCCTATGTCTCATTTGCTGGTTCCAGGTCTCCTCTTTGGCCTCTCGAACACGATGCCATCCATATTGAAGTCAATAGGCATCTGGCAGAAGAGGCAGCAATAGAAAACAAAGATGGCTTCTTTTACAAACAAGGAAATAGATAAAGTGACATTAATTTTCTAATTGATAGTAAACTTGGTTAATATAGAGGGCTGCTTACTTTTATGTATGTACTTACAGTTAAAGCACTTACTTTTATAATTAATAAAGGAATAAGGAGAAAGCTAAAACTTTTAAAAAAAGGACAAATATTTGAAGTGAACTACAAATAAAACTATTAAAAGATAGAAGGCAACTACCATGCCATTCAACAGTACTATGGAAAGTTATGGCAGATAACTCTAAGGACTGGACAGTCATATTGTTTTTTAACTTTAGAGTATAATTTACTTTATTTTTTGGGACAGGGCCTCACTCTGTCAGCCAGGCTGGAGTGCAGTGGTGCGGTCATGGCTTATTACAGCCTTGACCTCCAGGACTCGAGTAATTCTACTACCTCAGCTTCTTAAGTAGCTGGAACTACAGGCACACATCACCACACCCAGCTAACTTTTTAATTTTTAGTAGAGACAAGGTCTTGCTGTGTTGCCCAGGCTGATGTCAAACTTCTGAGCTCAAGCGATCCTCCCGCCCCGGCCTCCCAAAGTGCTGGGATTATAGGTGTGAGCCACTGCATCCAGACATAGAGTATAATTTGTATGGATGTACTTGACATTTTTAGAATTTCCAGAGCCACACAATAATGGCCACAATTAGGATGCCATAAAATGAACTTTTGCTTATAAGAAATAATGAAGCTTTCTAGATTATGGAACCTTACATTTCTACCCAATTTATGATTTCCTTTCCACACAAAAGTTGGACAGAAGAACTTCTTATACAAGTGAAAAGTGTAGTTTATGCAGAGAATCTTTCTAAGTGTGCTTCCTTTCTCATCTCATCCTTCTGGTGCAGAGAAAGCGTGAAGTTTTAGGCTTTAAAAGAGTGTTGAGAGATTTATAGTTAAGATGACACTAAATATAGGTGTTCATTGCAACATACGGCACCAAAAATGTATATGTAATAGATAAAAACATTAAGAAAGAAAACCAAAAAGACCTAGTCAGACCAAAACACAAGATAAATATCCATGGATAAGAACCAGAAGAGAAATGCCACAACCTCTGCTAGATTCTGAACCCAAGAATAGGCACTGGTGGCTGGAATTTGGTTTTTGAAGGCTAACAGGGCCAGAAAATATACCATGCAAGATAGAAGACCGAAACTACATCCATTGCTGAAACTACATCCATTGCCCAAAGCTAAATCCTGAGGTGGAACTCACCTCCTAAAAGGGAATAACAAAGCATTGTTGTATCTGCTGCTTTGTTCATACTTCATTTGAAGCTTTCGGCTCAGGCAGGGAGAAAAATAGGCACAGTTCCTTGAATATGACGCAAAGCAAGACACCAGCTGGCTTGATAAACAAATCTGCAATATTACCAAGTCAATATTTGTGTACCAAAGACTCCAAACTCATACGATATCTGATTTTGGCCTGGGAGCCAGGGGATCTGAGCAGAGGCGACCATACAACCACCAGACAAGCGGATGTGAACACAGAGGTTGAGAGAGTAAGAGAGAAACGTAAAGTGAAACTTCAAAATACATATTTGTGTGTGTGTGTGTGTGTGTGTGTGTGTGTGTAGCCAACAGCAACACTCAATAAAATAAAAAATCAGATGAACTGATCTCAGATGAAATTAGAGAACAGTCTAAAAAAGATATTAAAATAAATTCTTAGTAAGTTAATTGATATGAAGGTAAAGTTTCAAAAATGAAAAATTTTAAACAAAAGGAGAAAAAATAAAGGATACAAAAATAAAAGAAGAAATAGATATATGTGACAATTATAGAACTTATAAAAATTAAAAATAGAGGCCAGGCACAGTGACTCACACCTATAATCCCAGCATTTTGGTAGGCCAGGGCAGGTGGATCACTTAAGGCTAGGAGTTCCAGAACAGCCTGGCCAACATTGCGAAACCCTGTCTCTACAAAAAATACAAAAATTAACCAGGCATGGTGATGCATGCCTGTAATACCAGCTACTTGGGAGGCTGAAACAGAAGAATCACTTGAGCCTGGGAAGCAGAGGTTGCAGTGAGCCAAGATTGCCCCACTGCACTCCAGCCTGGGCGACAGAGTGAGACTCTGCCTCAAAAATAAATAAATAAATAAATAAATAAATAAATAAATAAATACAATAAAATACAACTGCACACTACTAGCATACCTAACTAGAACCCTCCTACATCATTGATAGCAATGTAAAATTGGACAACCACTTTGGAAAACATCTTTGCAATTTCTTATACAGTAAAACAAGCATTTCTTGTATGATTCAGCAATCACATTCCAAAATACTGGCTCCAGAGAAATAAAAACATGTTTACACAAACTCCTGTAGGAGAATGTTTGTAGTGAGTCTATTTATAATAGCCTCCAAACTGGATAAAACTCAAATGTCCATCAACTAGTGAATAATGAATGGGTAAACAAATTGTGGTACATTCATACAATGAAATACAACTCAGCAGTAGGATGGCACAAAGTACCAATACATGTAAGAATATGGATAAACCTCCAAAGCATCATGCTAAGAGACAGAAGTCAAACGCTGAGTTCTGTATGATTCCATTTATATAACATTCTGAAAAAGGTAAATCCACAGAGATGGTAATCAGATCATTGTAACAGATCGGAGGTAGAAGAGGGATTAAATAACAGGGAGCATAAAATAATTTTTGGGTCAATGGAAATGTTCTATATTATCACATTATCAAGCTGTACACATTAAACAGTAAATTTCATTCTATATAAACTATACCTCAGTAAGCTTAAATTTTAAAAACAAGAATAAAGAGAAAATATTAGAAGCTACCAGAGAGAAAAAGAACACATTTTGTCCTCCTGCGGGCCTCTCCTCTGCGATAATAGGTGCCAAAAAGCAATGAAGTAATACCTGTATAGCAATGAGGAAATATAATTATGAACCTAAAATTTAATATCCAGTTAAACTATTATTTGGGTTAAAATACATTTTCAAATATACAAAGACTGAGATTTTTATCCATGGATTCTCACTAAAAGAACTAACAAAGAATGTCCTTCAGCAACAAATAAAACCAGCAGGGATGCAAGTTATATTTTTTAAATGATACGCTCAAAAATTAATAAAAATAAAGTTAATTAATATTAGTATTGACTGTAAAAAAAAAAACACTACTTTTGAAAACCCATCTCTACCAAAAATACAAAAAATTAGCCGGGCATGGTGGTGGACACCTATGATCCCAGCTACTCGGGAGACTGAGGCAGAAGAATCACTTGAACCCGGAGGCAGAGGTTGCAATGAGCCAAGATCGCACCATGGCACTACAGCCTGGGCAACAAGAGGAAAAATCACTCTCAAAATAAAATAAAATAAAATAAAATAACAATCATAACAGGATGGGAGAGTGTAGTCAGTAAATAACTCAAGCATGCTAAGAATATTTTCATGTTTGGAGAAGCATAGAAATGGCAAATAACTTAAAACGTATAAAAAATTATAGTTAAATATTATGTGAATAAGGATTACCACTAACATACATATGTGTATGGTATGTAATACATATATAAAATTAGTATAATTTGTATGTAATACATATATATAAAATCACTAATACATGACTCAGCAGAGGAAAAGTATGAAAATGGAAAACTTTTGGTCCAAGAGAAGACAGAAAAAAATTTTTAAAGCAACAACAAAGAAGTAGGGAGAAAACATAAAATAAGATAGTAAAAATCAGTACAAATATACCAGAAATAATAATAAATAAGATTATTAGATTGGATTAAACAACAAAACCTTACTCTAGGCTGCTAATAATACACTAAACTAAGACCGTACACACAGTTAACAAGAAAAGATAAAGATACCCTATGCAAATACTAACCAGAGGAAGGTTATTTTAGCAATATAATAAATAAAAAATAAATAAAGGGCTATACAAAATAGAACATTAATAGAAAAAAATGATATAACAAAATAGTAACACAAAACAGCCACCTGGATGTTAAAATAATCACGTTACAATAACAAAACAGCCATGAAACATGTAAAATAGAATTGCAAAAATTAACAAAATCTATAGTCATTATGGAAGATTGCAATGCCTCTTTATCAGAAACTACTACAACAAACAGCCAAAAAATTTAGAATATAGAAGATTTGAACAATAAAGCTAACAACATGATGTAAGGTATAGAGTCCTGCTCCCTATGGGTTTACATATTCTTTTCTTGCATGCTTAGAACATTTACAAAAATTGAGCATCTATTAGGTGACAAAACAATAACAATGTATATTAAATAATAAATCAACAATAATGGCAAAAATAGATATACATTTGTAAACTAAAGGATGCACTCCTAAGTTCTTCATAAGTTAAATGGAAGTGAAAATGATGAAATATTTATAATTAAATGAAAAAAATGTAATATACTAAAAAAAAACCCTGTGACATACAACCAAAACAATAATTGTAGAGTAATTGTACAGTTTTAAATGCATTTATTTAAAAATAAGTAAACCTGATTTTAAATGCCTTAAGTTGACTCAGGAAGCTAGGGAAAGAACAGTGTTGTAAACTTTTTAAAAAGCAAAACTAGGCCGGGCACGGTGGCTCACACCTGTAATCCCAGCACTTTGGAAGGCCGAGGCAGGCAGATCACCTGAGGTCGGGAGTTCAAGATCAGCCTGACCAACATGGAGAAACCCCGTCTCTAGTAAAAATACAAAATTAGCCGGTGTAGTGGCGTAATGTAATTACATGCCTGTAATTCCAGCTACTTGGGAGGCTGAGGCAGGAGAATCACTTGAACCCTGGAGGCAGAGGTTGCGGTGAGCCAAGATTGCGCCACTGCACTCCAGCCTGGGCAACAAGAGCGAAACTCAGTCTCAAAAAAATAAATGAAAAGGAAAAGTAATAAAATAATGACAGCAGGAATTAATAAAAGAAAAAAATTTTAAAGCAACATATAAAAATCAATAGCATTCCATATAGCTGTAAAAAATTTGAAAATGTAGTCACAAAAGCCTAAAGACATATATTGGGCCTAAGAATACATATTAGCCTAAGAACATACAAGAATAAATTTATCAGTATATATAGAGAATAATTTTTGAGGAAATTGTCAAAGATTATTAAAAAACTATTAACGAATTTCACTATCTTATTGTTCAGGGAACAACAACACAAAACAACCAAGAAAGAGGACAAAGAAGACCTGATTCAATGGAGAAATATGCCATGCACATATTAGAGAAATTTAATGTTGTTAAGATGTCAACCTTGCCCAATTAATCTATAAATTCGATGTAATTCTAATGAAAGTATCCAAATGGATTTTTCATGGACCCTGAGAGCTGATCTAAAATTTCACACAGAGAGCAAAGGATCATAATTAAGCAAGATAATTTTCAGGAAGGACAAATTGGGAAAACTTACATTCCCAGATAGCATAACTTTTTTTCTTTTTTTTGAGACAGAGTCCTGCTCTGTCGCCCAGGCTGGAGTGCAGCAGCGCGATCTCGGTTCACTGCAAGCTCCGCCTCCCGGGTTCACGCCATTCTCCTGCCTCAGCCTCCCGAGTAGCTGGGACTACAGGCGCCCGCCACCACGCCCGGCTAACTTTTTGTATTTTTAGTAGAGACGGGGTTTCTCTGTGTTAGCCAGGATGGTCTGGATCTCCTGACCTCGTGATCCACCCACCTCGGGCCTCCCAAAGTGCTGGGATTACAGGCATGAGCCACCGCGCCCAGCATAACTTCTTTTAAGAATATGAATGCCAAATAGCATGCCATACACACGGTGATAGATCATGAAAAGCATAAAGATCACAGAAGCAGTTTCATGCCTAAATGGAAACTTAATTATGACAGAAATGGCATTGCAAACTAGTGAGGGAGTTATGGGCCCGTCAGTGAGTTTGTTGGTACAATTGCTATCCATATGGAAAGTTAAAATTATCACACAACATACAGAAAAATCTGTTCTAAGTTGAAGAAGGAATACTATGAAAAGCAAAACTTAGAATAAAACAGAGAGAGGATAGGGAAAGAGATTATCAAAAGCCAAATTACAGACCATGAAGGAAATGTTTGATACATAGATGTAAAACATATATATGTATATGTAAATACTCATATATGTCTTAACAAACAACTTAGCAGAAAAAAGTTGTGGGTAATTCAAATGAAAAAAATCTTAGAAGGAATAAGACATAAGAATTAAAACAACACAATAAGAATAAAACCAATAAAATAAGAAAGCTAAAAACCAATAACAGCCAGTATATAAGCCAAGGGGAAGAATATGAGTGGGTGAGCACAGTGTACAACACTGTATTCTCCCACAGTTTGTAAGTGCAGTGGCATCAGTGTAATTTGCATTCAGCTGCTATTACTTGATGACACAAAACATTAAAAGATTGGAGAAAATGTGACTCGATTTTACTGACATCATTTCTTTATATACCAATTTATAAATCTAATTCACATCACAGAAACTTGATTGGTAGCAGAACAGGCTAAATCTAAAGTTGAAGATGCATAAACCTATCAATTACACTTTTATTTATATCCTCTAGAGAAAATCTCAGATATGTGCACAGGGAGACATGTACAAGGATGTCCGTTGCAGCATTCTTCATAATAGTAAAAAATGAGACAGGTACAAGGATGTCCATTGTGGCATTTTTCGTAATAGTAAAAAATGTGAAAAAAGTGTCAATATAATTCATCAGAGGAATGTAAAAGTCAAGCGTATATTCAAATAACAGAATACCACATCAATTAAATTGAATAAACTAGAACCACATAAACTAACATAGGTAACTTTTAAAAATCTAATGTTGAGTGAAAAGAAGTTGCAGAATGATACTACAGAGACCATTTATGTAAAGTTTTAAAATATGCAAAATACTTACATAAAATTGTTTATGGACGTATATATATAATAAAAACGCATATAATTATATAACTATGGATATATAAATTTTACATAAACTAAGTTTCTTTAATTAAACCAAAGGTTATTTGTCTTTTCAGGGCAGACAGAGGCACTTTGCTCCATGAGGTTACCCAAGGACGTTGACTGGCAGGGTGGCTCTGCCTTCACATGTGGCTTCCAAGGCTGTTTGAGTTACCACTTTCCAGCCGGTGAGAAAAAGGAAGCATCTTTAAAGAGGTTATCTAAAGTTGCATCATCACTTCCACTTATGTGCAATTGTCCCTAAATTTAGTCATGTCTTGTTGCAAGGGAGGCTGGGAAATGCAGTTTATTCATGTGGCCACATGCCCAAGGAGTAAATAATGTACAGAAGGAGTAAATAAGGCACTGAGCCCACCAGATGTCTCAGCCACAATAGTAAAAATATAAAAGCAGACACGGGAATGAGAGTTCTTGTCTCTAGGAAAGAAGAGAAGGGAAAGAAATGAGGGAGCCTACATAGAAAGTTTTAAATGTGATGTTTAAAAAAATAATGAATATCAAGTTCAACAGAGCTTAAAGGGAAAAATAAATAAGTTTTTAAAAAATGAATACAAATCTGACAAAATGTTAGAATTTCTTAAATCTGAGTGATGGAGATAAAGGTATTCATTATCCTATTTTTCACAGGTTTGAAATATTTTATAAATAAACAAATAGCCTTTAAGTACCTTTGGTAAGTGAATAATGATATGCAAAAGAACAAATAAGTAGATAGTAGTTGTAGTTGCCATATAATACAATTTTCATCTACATTAAGTGTTTACCGAATATATTGTAATAATTAAATCAACAAAACCAGCATTACAGTCTTTCTAAATAATCAACTGTGCATACTAAAAACATTTTACATATTTTCACTTTTTTGAGACAGGATTTCACTCTGTCACCCAGGCTGTGAGTGCAGTGGTGCAATCTTGGTTCACTGCAGCCTCAACCTCCTGGGCTTAGTTCACCTCAGCCTCCCAAGTAGCTTGGACAACAGGCACACGCCACCACACTCGGCTAATTTTTGGTATATTTTGTAGAGACAGGTTTGGTTTAACCATGTTGCCCAGGCTAGTCTGTAACCTCTGTGTTCAAGTTATCTGCCTGCCTCTGAAATCCCAGAGTGCTGGGATTACAGGCATGGGCCACCACACTCAGCCCCCCATTTTAAGTATTTTTAAAATGCTGAAGTTCACCTGAGGTCCTTAAAGCACAACTACAGCCTAGCCTTCTTAGTGAATCTGAGAAGGCCGAACTGCCCTAAGCACATCCACCCAGTCTGTTTCTTGGCTTCATCTCTTTTTGGTGAGCGACAGCTGTTTTAAGGGGCTATATGCAAGGAGGGTTGGAGGTAGACAACTAAGAGGATCTAAGAAAAGAAACGTATCCAGTCCATATCCATATCACTTAATTAGAGGGGACAAATCAATTACTCAAATCAAACACATACATAGTTTTCTCTAAAGAGGTCTAATTCATAAATTTTAATTAAAAAGAAAGATTTGTATAGTCCTATCATCAGAACTGAGTTTTTTCATAAGAAATCAAGAAGCTGGCAAATACATATGTTTAATTTACTATATTGTAATCAGTGAAAATGTATGCTTTTAAACCAGCTACAAATTTTAATCATGAAAGTACTTATTTAGATTTGGAAGGATTACAAAATGCAGGGGAGGTAAGACTGTTTAATAAACTAACAGAAACTGTGTTAAGCCCTATTACACAAACAATTGCCTCATCTTTTGAATTGTACATGATAAAGCATATTAATTTCTGTGTAAACAAACACATTACTTGATATGGTGTGATTGTGTGTTTTTAAATAAATGATAAATAAGTAGACTATATATTTATCACTACATGCTTCCACAGATCTTATGGATTTTACGTTTCTTCATATTATATGGGGATATATATCTCCCTCTCAATGACAAATTCCACACAAATAAATCATTAAGATTCTGAGCTAAATACTTTTTTTTAAGGATAGAAGTTCTTAATTCGCCTATAATTCTTACTTTTTGTACCAACCAATTAATGTGATGGCTTAAATGTAATGGGTAAGTTAATGCATATATTATATTAAATACTTTATTAACTATGTAGCCCTGGATTGCTTAGAACGATGCTGCTCACAGTGAGTTTTGTGTACTGGTGCTAATCTACAAGCTGTTAGTGGTTGCGGTGTAGTAAGCTCAAAAACCCAGAATATAGTTTTGGCAACTTTTATAGCAATTTAACAACAATTTTATGTCTATTAAATCTAAAAACATTATTTCTTATTTAATTTTTCAAGTAATTCATTTCTAATATGTTGGTATTGGTCCACAACTAATTGGAAATTCAAAAACTTGGTTGTCCCCACAGATAGTTTGAGAAATACCAGCCAAAAAAAAAAAAAAAAATCTAGTAGCTTTGAACTAAGAGCCTTAAAGCTCCCAGACAGATTGATTTAATAATTACAATAGTCATTGTAAACAATATTAATAATACTTTATATTTATTTAACATTTAATGGTTCACCAAGCATCTAAGTCTGGTAGGATAGGGCTCATTATCTCTACGTTATAGATAAGGAAACTTAAACTGAGGTAAGTGACCTGGCCAAGGTCACCTAGTTACTAGATGAGAGAGCTGTAAATGGAACATGAATCTTACAACGCTAAGCCAATATTCTTTCTGGTACATCATGCACAAGAGTAAAATAATGCTGGTTTGATAGAAAAGTTGAAACCATGATTGTATCACTCAACTTTGAAACGAAGTTATTCATGTTTTTAAATTCAGTTGTTCTTGGGGATACAGAGAAACAAAAGAACCTATTCAGATCTGAACTTGGTCTTTTAGACTGCGGCCTTTAATGTCAAGGAATATTACATTTTTACTTCCATTGTGCACACAAGCTCAAGGGTAATAAAGTGTTAATATTTTGTTGATGTATCAAGTTTGAAATGTGAAGGAGTGAAATAGAAGGCATACATTTAAAAAACTTACTTTTTTCATTGCTATGCAGTAGATGTACATATTTCCAATAATAAAGTTATTAGAGGTACATGTGATAATTGAATACATTTATATAATTTCCAATGATCAAATCAGTGTGATTGGAATATCTATCACCTTAAATATTATGCCAGAAACATTCAAATTATTCTCTTCTAGCTATCCTGCCATATACAATAGATTATTACAAATAGATTACTGTATAGTCACCCTACTGATCTATCAAACACAAGGTCTTATTTCTTCTATCAAAACCAACTTTAGAAGGCATGTTCTAGTCAGTGCTGTCTAATCATGCTACATATGGCTATTTAAATTTAAATTAGTTAAAATTTTAAGTTAAAAATTTGGTTTTTTAGTTGCATGGGCCACAATCCAACTGCTTAATACCCACACATGGTTGGTGGTTACCATATTGAACATCATAGCTATGGAACATTTCCATCACTGTAGAAAATTCTACTGGACAGTGCTGTTACAGTTTTTTCAGAGAGACACTTATCTTTGATGAATTTAAAGTAGAAAGATACAGAAATTAAAATCAGGAGTCTTCTACAATAAGAAAAATCTAGTTTTATATATATACAACAATTATTTCCAAAGCCAAACTGTTTCGTACACTATAGGCAGTCAATTAAGACAGTGAGGGGAATTTTATCCTAAATTTATTAGATACAGATTAACATAAAAAACATAAAACTTGCATTGAAAGAAGTCTAATTTTTTGAGATAGAAATTTATCATGAAAGTAAATAGTCAGTATGCCTCACCACTATAATTTAAAAAAAGAAAAGAAAAATATGTAAGACGCAATTAAGGGGAAATAAAAGAAACATTCGATGTCTCTCAGAATTTATAGCAATGCCAGCATAGCAAATCAGAAAATTACGCTCAATAACACAATTAGGACACATTGGAATTATGGTGGAGTAACCTTATTATTTGGTAATAGAAATTAAAAATGCAGAGTAGAAAATCTAAAACAATAAGACAAAATGAATTTTTTATAGCAAGCAAATCAACCATGATTTAGAGTCCAGGAAATGGAATGTGTTTTTAGATCCATCTCTGAAGACAGACATATGGCCAGCATCCTGAAGGCCGCTTCCTAGCCAGCTGCCATGCTCAAATCCTGAGGTGCATTTCAGGCAAAGGCACTCTTTATTGTGTATGATCTCGTCTCTCACTCTGATGGAGTATGCTGGACTCACGTGAAAGCCTCAAAAACTCCTTTTACTGCTTTATCTTAAGGCTCACATCAAAGGTGGGCCAACACTCTGTTCCACATTGCCTTTCAAAGTCAGGGAGGTCTGAAAACGCATCCAGTCTCCATTTTATTATTCCAGTGACATGACAGGAAGAAAGCAAAGCACAAAGGAAGGGCCAAGAGGGAAGACAATGCAGAAGAGAGCTGCAGGAACATGTGTCACAGTCCAACGGCATTTAGAGTAACTTGGCACCTGGCAAGTTATGTCCTTGACCCATATGTAAGCTCCTCCTCTTTTAGGGCAGATGGAGAGAGAAGGAGAAAATTATTTTTTTAATGTCTCGAAAAAACAAAATATATTTACTTCCAAAATATCTCCTCTGAAATCAACTGAGATAACCATAGTTTACCCATCTTTTTTGAAGGCTCTGTGAACAATGTGTCTGATTCTTGCTAATGGGAAGGAATTGGTTGGAAATCTAAAAGTAGCTGTCAGTGCTGGAAGAAGTGATCACAGTGCTCACAAAGTGATGACGAGAAGCAAAGAGGTGCTGAAGGAGAACAGGCTCCGAAGACAGGTGGACCTGTGTTCAGATTTAGCCTGGACCTCTTACTGGCTCCATAGGAGGAGTTGATAACATTCGATCAGCTACATTACCTCCAATTATCTAGGGATAAAGGTATCTATCTTGCAGAAGGAGGTAAACAATGTGGCTAAATAAAAATAATTTTTAGAAAATCTAAAGTTGCCACAGTTGGAATCTAAAGTTGCCACAGTTGGAATCCAATGGAAAGGCAATAAAAAAAAACAAAGAAAATAACATTTTTATATACTCATTAGCAAATTACTCCAAGAATGAGAAGGATAATTTAAAAAATCAAGTTAGCTACAGACTAATATCTAATGGCAATCGAGGCTAACTGCCGCAATGTGGAAGTGAGATCTGATCACTGTAGATTAGCATTAGCAGGGGCCTCTATGCAAAGGCTTTCAAAGATCAAAGTGGAAAACATAAATGCGTGAAGCAGCAGAGAGTGGTGCAGCCTGTAGAGAACTGAAGAGGCTACACCAGTCAAAAGGTATTCAGATTTTAAAATGTTTTAAAACCACATGTGCTGCACAAAACAAATCTGCAGGCAGAATTTGACTTGAGGGATGCCAGTTTGGAACCTCATACACAAAGCAAAGACAAACTCCCACCTATGGATAAGTTATATACAATATAAAACAAAAAAAAATCCTGTCAATCCAATATAATTCACTTTGCACCATAAGGGGATGAGGATCTGGGAAAACAAATGCTACCTACCTTTCTAAAAAATTGGTATTCACTGACTATTGTATTGAATGAATATTGTGGTCACTATTCATCCCACATCCTATCCTTTCATTAACCTCAGAAAAGGGTGAAGGAAGAAGGCATTAAAATCACTCAGTAGAGGAAGGTATGGAGAGAGGAGTATGGCGTCATCATAAAATATCCCAAACCAGGAACAACGGTAAAGGTGAGCCTGAGGAATAGGAAAATATCCTGAAAAGCTGGGGGAGAACACCTTGCCTAGAAGAGCAAAGAACAGATATTTTCCTTTCTTCTCCCTTTATCTCTTTGGGTAAAAAGACTGGATTAAAACTTTTATAGGAGCATTAAAGGAAGCTGAGGGAGTCATGGATTTTTGGTCTGTTGGCTTTTGTGGCTTTAAATCTTTTAGCCTGTGAGCTTTCAGGATTTTGCCTTTTGGGGCTAAGAAAGTTTGTGGGTCTTTTGGACCTTTGGAATTCTGGGGCTATGTTTTCTCTCTTGGACTGAGGAATGCTATTGTTTTACAGATACAGGGATGGAAAAAGTACAGAACGAATTGTTTGAGATTGACTCTCAGCCTCAGGCTGAAGTAAGAGAAGTGAAGGATACCTGTATATGTCTTTCTGAATTCTTGTAGCAGACACTTGTCATTTCTTTTGACTGCCCAGCATTGGAGTCCTTCTCTGGATTTGGGGAATTCTCTACCTTATAAATCTTGATGGGAGACAAAGACTCCCTGCCCCACACAGAAGCTAGATACTCTCTTTCCTACTTTCCTTTGCAGGTAGAATAAAATGTACCCAGGCTCCACTTTGACTCAGGAGTTAGTGGCGCAAGGAAGCAGGCACTGTGCGGAATCCAATCCAGAAGCTGCAGTGGTAGCAGTTCTATAGTAGCCATAGTTAGTGTTTCTTATATGTTGGCAGCTATTTGAGATGCAGCATCTGGGCAGTGGTGCCTTTATGGGACTAGCTTGGCTTCAGACTTCAGAGTTGGTTTCCTGTGTAACCTCCAAGCTTGGTTTGACTTCCATTCTAGAGATTCTGGGGGGTAGCCAATATCCTTTACGAAATCCTTTTCTACTTATTCTTAGCAGAGCTTGTTTCTGTTGCTTACAACTAAGAATTCTTATTGATACAGCTCTGAGATCCAATCCACCAGGAAAGTAAAGAAAGAGTTCAACAAACAAGCTCTATTGAAAAACAGACTGCTCTCATGCTGTGTTGGGAATCTGAGCATAGTAGTATAGGTGAGGGTATGAAGAATTTAAGAGTTATGTCCACTTACACTGATATTCTACTAAAACTCTCTCTGAGGTCACCTATGACTTTCTCATTGCTAAATCTAATGGCCTCTGTTAACTTCCCATGTTTAAATTTTCTGCCATATTTGATGCTGTTGAACATTCCTTCCTCCTGGAATCTTTATTATCTATTAACAGGGAACATCTTGAGGGCACAAATTTAGCAGGACTGTCTTTGTACTCCCAGCACATTGCATTTTGCCTGACACATCACACTCAAGATTTCAATGAATAAATGAATGAATACATATTGTATTTTTAACTATGATGAAAAGAGAAAGACTAATTGAATAAAGCACACAGGAAATATTGGCAAAGGGTGAAAAAGTGACAGTCACCTATTTTGAGCATTTTGAGCCCATTTTAATGCAGTGATCAGCAATAGATATTATATAAGCAATGTATTGATTAATAATACAAACAAATAAGACAAGTAATTGTGACATAACTAATATTTATCAATGGGATTGGTCTATTTGTTAACATACATTGATTTATCAATTAAATTGAAGACTAAAAAGATAATGAAGGAGTCACAAAAACTGCATGTAATTGTCAGGATCCCAAGAAACATCAAAGACCGGTGAATAGTTAGTTAATCAAACAGGTTTTTACCTCAACAAAGTCAAACTGATCTTGTCCGTGTAACAAGATCATCACACTTTCTGGATCTTCAGAGATCACCAGATTGATGTTTACCATACTGAGATCAAAATCTGAAGATAAAAGTGATTTTTAGCTGGGCAAAACTGAACCTCCTCTGTAGAAGACTGAGAGTTAAATAGGAAAAATCAAGATCAACATGTCCCAACCTAACCAGATATCAATCTGTCTGCTGTTACTGATCAAGAACCGGGATCACCAAACTGTCATCAGTGGGACAAATTCAGCCCATCATGTGTTTTGGTAAACAAAAGTTGACTAGAACACAGCCATACCCACTTGTTTATATATTGTCTAAGGCTGCGTTTGCTCTTCAATGACACAGTTGAGTAGCTGGGGGACAGAGTGTATCCCAAAAAGAGCCTGAAATATGCACTACCTGCTCCATTATAGAAAAAGTTCACTGACCCTTAATAAAAAAGATATGGAGAAAGAAGAGAAGTCTAATTTAGATTTCTGGACCCACACAAAAGTGCCCTGAAAATGATAATTCTTTTGCTCCATCCAGCTCACTCTCAGAGCTGAAACTTTTCCTCTATCCTCCCTCTTCCTCACTTCACTACAATCAAGGCTTACAACTGTGAATAGTTTATTTATTTTTTTCTATACTTTGGAATATTTACATCAAAAGTAAACAGTTTATGGTAATTAAAATTTGTGATTAAAAATCTAACCACTTCTAAATTATCCCAGTTCTTTTCCTTGAGTTCTCACATTGTTCTTTCTTTTTTCAAAAGTAATAGTTTCCTTTTCACTGACAATCCTTCTCCTGATCACTCCTTGTCAACCTGTTTCTCTGCTCTTATTTTCCCACAGATTTCTTTTCTTTTCTTTTCTTTTTTAGACAGAGTCTCCTCTGTCGGCCAGGCTGGAGTGCAGTGGCGCGATCTCAGCTCACTGCAACCTCCTCCGCCTCCTGGGTTCAAGCGATTCTCCTGCCTCAGCCTCCCGAGTAGCTGGGACTACAGGCGCCCGCCATCATACCCGGCTAATTTTTTGTATTTTTAGTAGAGACGGGGTTTCACCTTGTTAGCCAGACTGGTCTCAAACTCCTGACCTTGTGATCCGCCCGCCTCGGCCTCCCAAAGTGCTGGGATTGTGAGCCATTGCGCCCAGCCTTTCCCACAGATTTCTTAAATGCAATACGTGTTCTAAGCACTATTTTCTTCCAGCTCCATACCTGCTCATGCAACATTTATCTTTTTCCACAGCTTTCACCATCATTCTGTACAGCTAATTTCCGTTCACTTTAACCTTTACTTTAAACCCCATACCCGCATTTCCAAATGCTGTAAATCTTCATGTGGGTATGTTGTGTTCCTACTCACATTTGTCTGGTTTGACATCTAAATCATTATCTCTGCCCACAAAAACAAATCATAAACCATACACAAAAATAGCACAGCTGCCGGGCGCGGTGGCACACGCCTGTAATCCCAGCACTTTGAGAGTCCAAGTTGGGCAAATCACAAGGTCAGGAGATCGAGACCATCCTGGCTAACACGGTGAAACCCCTTCTCTACTAAAAATACAAATTTAGCCGGGCGTGGTGGCACGCACCTATAGTCCCAGCTACGCGGGAGGCTGAGGCAGGAGAATCGCTTGAACCTGGGAGGTGGAGGTTGCAGTGAGCTGAGATCCCGCCACTGCACTCCAGCCTGGGCGACAGAGCGAGACTCTGTCTCAAAAAAAAGCACAGCTGTTCATTGTCTACGTTCTCTAACTTGGTTAATTGCATCGCTCTCCTACCAGTTGCCAAAACTAGAAACAAGAGAACCTCTCACCATCTACATGTAACCAAACATAAAATTCTAAAGATTCTTGAGTTTAAAATGTATCTGGAAATTTTCTCCTCCATGTCGTTTCCAATACTTTATTTTATACTGTCATCATTGAATACCTTCAAAATAGCTGCAACCGTATTCCTGTTTTGGTTGGGCTATTTCTCTAATTTATCTTTCATATTGTTCCCAGAATTATCTTCCTATAACACAAATCAGATCATGAAACATCTCTGTTAAAAAATCTTCAAGATTCTCCTTGACCTACAAAGTCAAAATGCTTGGAGTGGCATTCAAGGGTGATCATGCTCTAAGCTACCTTTTCAGGTTTATTACCAACTAATCTCCAACATAAAGTTTGAACTCTGACAGCACTGGATTATTTTTCATTTTCTGAGCATATCTGTAATATGTTCATATATGTCTATTATATTATGTTCTGAAGAGTTGAGTCATACTCCCCACCCGCACCCCTGTGCTAACCATCCTACAATGCACTTGAGGAAAAATAGGTGGTCATAGTTTGGCTGGCAATTAGATTTTGCTTGCTAAGACATATATGCAAGCTGGCTAGATTTTGAGAAGGGGGAAAGGGAAAGGAGGACCTCAGTAAGGTGGTTAGAAAGGCTGCTGAGGAGGTTCTGAGCCAGAACCAAAAGAAATAAGGCAGTTATATGAGAAAAACTTCCCAGAAACAGCAGTTTAATGCTGTTTGCTATATCATTCCTTCCTCTGTTTTCCCATTAAACTTGTAGTGAGTCTATATTTCTAAGCAGTATCTCACAGTTGGGTTTATTTAAGAGCTAAAAACCTAGTGGCCTGGCCTGAAGGTATACGTGAAGTGATTCCTTTTAACTATGTTTGCCTCAATGTTTACATTGAAACTTTCTTTAAAGGCATTAATCATATTTATAATAACTGATCTTTGTTTAGGCAATTGATTTGAATTCTATCCAGCTCTATCCTGTTTTTCTCTTGTACATAGTTCCCCCTTATCCACAGTTGCACTTTCCATGGCTTCAGTTACCTGTGGTCAACTGTGGTCTGAAAATATGAAATGGACAATTCCAGAAACAAACAATTCATTAGTTTTAAATTGCCATCATTTTGAGTAGCAGGATGAACTCTCTCATTTTCCTGCTCCAACCTATCTGGGATGTGAATCATGCCTTTGTCCAGTGTACCCACACTGTAGATGTTACCCACCTGCCCCTTAGTCAGCTTGTCTCTGTTATCAGATCAACTGTTTTGGTATCGGTATGGAAATGCTTGTGTTTAAGTAAGCCTTATTTTATTTAATAATGACCCCAAAGTACAAGAGTAATGCTGCTGGCATTTCAGATATGCCAAAGAGAAGCCAAACATATGCCAAGGAGAAGTTGTTAAGCTCCTACTGTGCCTAATTTATAAATTAAATTTTATCATAGGTATGTATTTACAGGAAAAAACGTAGTGCAGTATATATAGAGTTCAGTACTATTTGAGGTTTCAGGCATCCACTGGGGGGGCTTGGAATGTATCTTCTTTGGATAATGGGGGGACTACTGCAATTGCTATTTTAGTACTATTTCTGTGGTCTTTTTCTCCCAACCCCTTATAAGAAGCTGGATAAATGAGGTGGCTCCATTCCACAATGGTATCTCCTATATAATCCTATCAATGTCACCAGCATGGCACATGCTCAGAAGTGCTCCTTGAGCCTATTCATTCATTCTCTGAATCAGAAGTCTAAAGCTATGAAGATATTTTAGAAAACAGTATATCATTAGACATCTCTCCCACTACCAAACAAATGTTGTTGAATATGGTCCATTCTCACATTAAGTAACATTAGATTTGAGATACTTTTTAATGAGGCTTATAATATTCTTTAATTCTTTAATAATTATTTAATCTTTAAAGCTGTCTCTTCCACTGCAGTCAGTTAGAGCATGCAATTGATGTTTAAAAGAAAATCATGCCAGGCACTGTTCTAACAGTGACAGTTAACAAGAAAGACAAAATCCTTGTTTTCATTGTTGTCTCACTCTAGCACAGAGAAAAAACAAACAAGCAAACAAAATAACAAAATACCAGTAAAGAATAAGGCTATAATACAATAAAATAGGATGATGTGATAGAATGACGATTTTAGATTTGTTTGTTTGTATACATTATAAAAATGAGGCAACTGAATTCTTCCAAGATACCTGATCTGTGATGGGAATGACAAGAAGGAGGCAGTTATAGAAATATCTGAGGAAAGAGCATTCCTTACTGAGAGAATATCTAAGGTAGGAATGTGCTTGGCATGTTCGGGAAACAAAGTGTAAGGGGAAAAGATTTAAAATGATGACAAAAATACAAGCATAGGATAGATCACTTGAGGTCTTACTAGCAGGGTAAAAAATTTGGGTTTTCTTTTAAGTGAGTGTATTAGTCTGTTCTTGTGTTGCTATAAAGGAATACCTGAGACTGGATAATTTATAAAGAAAAGAGGTTTAATTGGCTCACAATTCTGCAGGCTGTACAAGCACAGCTCCTGTATCTGCTCAGTTTCTAGGGAAGCCTCGGCAAGTTTTTAGTTATGGCTGAAGGTGAAGTGGGAGTAAGCTCATCACATAGCCAGAGCAGGAACAAGAGAGAAAGAGAGTGGGAAGTGTTGCACACTTTTAAACAACCAGATCTAGTGTGAACTCACTCATCACCAAGAGGACAGTGCTAAGCCATTCATGAGTGATATTCTCCAATGATCTAAACATCTCCCACCTCCAATGCTAGGGATTACATTTCAACATGAGATTTGTCAAGGACACAAATCCAAACCACATCAGTGAAGTAGGAGGTTTTCGGAAGGTTTTAAGCTTGGGAGTGATGGACCTGATTTATATTTTATAATGATGGTTCTGACTGTTCTATGGAGATTAGATTGTAAGTGGGCAAGATAAAAGGAACGAAGACTAACTGGGAGGCTCTTCAAAAAGTTTAGACATGAGAAGATGGTGGCTTGGACCAAGGTGGTATAACAGTAGAATTGGATAGATGCAAAATATGTTTTGAAAGAAGGAGAAATTCAACGGATCGAATGTGAGGGCAACAGAGAAAGAAAAAGGAAAATCAACAGTGACTTCTAAGGCCAGGTGCGGTGGCTCATGCCTGTAATCCCAGCACTTTAGGAGGTCAAGGCAGTCAGATCACTTGAGGTCAGAAATTCAAGACCAGCCTGGCCAACATGGTGAACCCGTCTCTGCTAAAAATACAAAAATTAGCTGGGTGTGGTGGCACACGCCTGTAATCCCAGCTACTCAGGAGGCTGAGACAGGAGAATCACTTGAACATAGTAGGCAGAGGTTGCAGTGAGACAAGATGGTGCCACTGCACTCCAGCGTGGGCAGCAAAAGCAAAACTTTGTCTAAAAAGAAAAAAATACCTGACAATGGCTTCTAGGTTTTTGGTTTAAATAAAATGAGATGGTAAGGAATGGGAAAGGAGCAGACTGAGGGTGAGAGGATAATCAAAATGTCTATTTTGACCACTTAAAAATTGAATTGTTTATGATATGCAAGAGGAAGTATCATTATAGGTAACTGGATATACACATCTGGAGCTCAGTGTCAAGATCAGAGATGACATATAGTCTTGGGAGTAAATGGAGACATTCAGGGAAAGTGTGTAGAAGAGAGAAGAGAAGAGAAAGAAAGGGAAGGGAGGCCACCAGTATTTAGAGGACAGCAGAGGAGAAGGAGCCTCTGAATTATGAGAAAAAAACAGAGCATGAACTCTTCTCCACTAAGCTGCAGACTCCTACATCCAATGCCCATTTTATAATTGCTCCCAAACAACCAAAAAGATCTTCTTTTCCTATGTTACTGCATGTAGAAATTCTAGGATTTGCCTGTAAGACGCTGGTCCAATGTGCTTATTTGTTTTAAGAAGACAACCGTTTCCAAGAACTTTCTTCTTTTGAGTGATACTTCTAGTGCTGCAAGCCACCCACCAGTCATTTCTGAACTCGGCATACTGTTATCTGACTTCAGCAACTGGACGTCATGCTTTTCCCCTGATGGCACAAGTCCTGTTGTGCTTTTTTGTTTGGGGGGATGTCTGTGTTTTATTTTGAGCATTTTATGCCTGATTAAATTCCATCTCAGTAACTGAAGAACTTCTTAAAAGAAGCATTTTTGGTGGAAAACCTGGGTGCTTAGCTTATTGTTCACTACTAGTGTAAAATTTGGTGAATCCTTGAACCATATTTGTCTCACTTCTAAAATGTGTGTTTTGAATGTCATTCTGTATATAAAAAACGAAACAAAGACAAAAAACAAAATGTATGCCAGAAGTTCTGGGACAAACATTAAGTAAATGAGTGAACAAATAAATAAATGTATGTAACATACACCCGAAGACTAGGAGTTAGAGCAGATCTCTTTATCATCTAGAGGTCTTGTCAAATACTAAGAGCTTTAATTCTCGCTGATTTGGTGGTTAAAAATTTTGTGTGAGAAAAATAAACCACCAGTATCAATTTCTTCATTCTTCTCTCTCCTGTCCAGTTCCTTTCCTTCAATGTAAAAGTCATTGGCTGGGCACAGTGGCTCACGCCTGTAATCCCAGCACTTTGGGAGGCCAAGGCAGGTAAATCACGAGGCCAAGAGATCAAGACCATCTTGGCCAACATGGTGAAACCCCATCTCTACTAAAAATACAAAAATTAGCTGGGCATGGTGGTGCGCACCTGTAGTCCCAACTACTCAGGAGGCTGAGGCAGGAGAATCGCTTGAACCTGGAGGTGGGGGTTGCAGTGAGCCGAGATCGTGCCACTGCACTCCATCCTGGCGACAGAGTGAGACTCCGTCTCAAAAAAAAAAAAAAAAAAAAAAAAAAAAGTCATTGTTTAAACGATTGTCTGTATGTAGTTGGTACTTAATAAATGTACTGCAGTAAGATGTTTTGGCATGAATTCTCTATCATACCAGGTGTCTTGAGAACCTGGAACCTTTAGTCACCCAAGTCACTGTTTTACTGAGCTGTTTTACTGTTTTAAATAGGACCATGTTGCTAGAGCAAAATATCCACTCTCCTCATCCTCAAAGAATGTAGTTTCTAACATGGGGTGTGCAAAACAAAACAATGGGAAGCAAGGAGAAAATGTATACTTTATAAGTATAAACTTTATTTTCTATAAATTTCACATCAAGTACAGACTTTGTACTTTATTTTGTATCTAGAAAATATGGAAGGATTTATGTTTTTCTAATACATAATGACCAACACTGTTGTTCTCATATGTTCCAGAAGTCAAATATAGTACAGAAGGTAGCCCCAGTAGGGCTTGGCAGCAAGACCATCATAAATTCATTCCTCTTCTATGTACTACACTGTACCACAGTTTATGTTTATACTGTACCACAATTTATGTGCCACATAGAACATTGTCAATGTGGTTATTTTTTATAAAGTAAGATCTTTGAAATAATAATAGAGTCATTGTGATACTTTGTAATAAGACAAGGGCTGATCATGAACATTTTTTTTACCACATAGTAACCAGTTCACCAGTTACCTTGCAGAAAGGACTATCCAACTAAAAGCTGAGTAGCAACACCTATCTTTTAAACATTTTAACAAGCGTTCCTAGTATGCTGACCTTTTCTGTGAATACAAGTGACTGTCAGATTTTTTAAAAATAATATTCTTAATCAGTTCTTTCAAGGTAAAGGTGACATTTTTAATAATGAAGGAGAAAATGGCTGCTGTTCAAAAGACATTTGTGCTATGGAGAGAGAATTTTTAAAATAGAAACTTGAAAATGTTCCAACATTATCTAATTTTATTGCTGAAAACAATTTAAATGTAGAAACTCTTAATATCTGCACATTAAAAAACTTGGAAATAATAGAGTTTTAAGAACTGTTTGTAAAAGATCTTCCAAATGAGTAGTTTCAATATGTTTTGAACCCATTTCTTAAAAATACAAAAATGCAATAACTTCTGATTAGTTTGCAAGAAAAAGTGACTGATATTGGGGATGATATATATTTTCTAGCTGAATTTCAATAAAACTCTTTGCATAATTGGGGATGGGACTGAAAAAATGAATATCATGATTTAGCAAGCACAACTAATGGTGCACTTCTTCCATCTGGCTGTACTTATTTTTGTGAGATAGCTCTTTCAGCTAAAATAGCTATTAAAACCAACATGGGAATACACTGAACTTAGAACCAGACTTCTGAGCCACAGTATCACAAGGTATAAAATCAAGATTTTTTTAATTGATGACGCATTTTTAGTCAAATTGTTCTCACCAGAAAAGGCAAAAATGTTATTAAACTATTGATAAGCAATATAAAATAATTTGAAAAATATTATTTAATATTTATCTCACCATTCTTAATTTTTGTTTTTGGTTCTTTTACAAAGTATATATTACAGTAAAATATTTGTTTGCTTGTTTCTTTGAGACAGAGTCTTGCTCTGTTGCCCAAGCTGTAGTGCAGTTGCACTATCACAGCTCACTGCAACCTCTGCCTCCTGGGTTCAAGTGATTCTCGTGCCTCAGCCTCCCGAGTGGCTGGGATTACAGGCATGCACCACCATGCCCCGGCTAACTTTTGTGTTTTTAATACAGGCGGGGTTTCACCACGTTGGCCAGGCTGGCCTTGAACTCCTGGCCTCAAGTGATCCACCCACCTTGGCCTCCCAAAGTGCTGAGATTACAGGCATGAGCCACCAAGCCTGGCCAAAATATTATTAAATATATATAATTAATAATTATGTAATTATAATATTTGAGGAGTGTTCACAAATTTTAGTAAGGGGTGCATGATCATAAAGAAATTTGGAAATCACTGCTTTAGTAGAACCACTCCCGTCATGCCTCAAATTTCTGTTTACTTCTGTTATGTTGGGAGGTGGAAGTCCCTCTGTCATCTACCACAATTTGCTCTTTCATTCCCATACTGCTTTGTAATCTTCTAAACTGAACCATCAGTTCTACCTCAGCCTTTCCAATCTACCCTCAAAAAATTCTGGATCTAGGATCAATAAACTTCCTGTTGTAGCTAATATCCACAGATGTTTCCCATTGGATCACATCTCCTGGTACTGATATCATTGTGAGTCCCTTCTCTTGAATCTGGATTGGCCTTGTGCTTCAATTTAATCAAAAGAAAAAGGCAGAAGTGCTACTGTGCCAATTCTGGGTCTAAGTCCCAAGGAGGCCTAGCAGCTTCTACCTTTGCACTTTTGCAAGCCCTGAGCTGCCATGTAAAAAGTCCAGCTATACTGCTGGAAGGTTCATGTGAAGAAAGAGAGACCTTGAGATGAGAGAGAGAGAGAGAGAGAACTAGCCATCCTACCTGAGCCCAGCTATCCCACCATCTCCACTAAAGCAGGTACCAGTTATGTGAATGAGCCATTTTGGCTGTTTCAGCCCTATCAAAGCCTCCAGTGATTTCAGCTCCATTTAACATCATGTGAATCAGAAGAATCACCCAGCTGGGCCCAGTCAACCTACAGTATCTTGAGGGATAATAAAATTGTTATTTTAAAACACTGAGTTTTCACATGGTCTATTGGGCAGCAATACATAACAAAACCCTATCTTACATACTCAATCCTCTGGGAATTTTCCCTTCAAATTTTTGACTTTAAGTAACTTCCCATTTGAGGACAAAATTTTACCCAGTAGTCCTCTCAAGTGACATCTGCTTTTTCCCTCACACCCCACCTACTACAGGCCCAATACATCACACCCATGTGATGACTCAGCTAGTAACCTTTCTCTCAGTTTCTAGACTTCTTAATTTTTTCCCTACTCCTCCTTAACCACCTGTTCCCATGGTCACACCCTAAAACTTACAAACTGAAACACCTCTGAAATATAAATTTTAAACATTTTATCCTTTCAGTTCACATGTGCTATTACTTGCACTGCAACCATTACTTGGCCACATCAGGACCTCAAATAAACAATGAAATATTGTTGAGGAAAATAACACGACCAGGCTGACATACTAAACTCTTCATCAATGATTCCAAACCTTAAATGGCCATTCAACACTGCCCAGCAAATACTACTTTATTTCTGCCTTAGGTTTGCAATCATAATTTTGGACACAACGACTTCATGCTCTCTTCTCTCCTCAAATCTTCTATCTCCCATGCCCCTTCTCTTACCTTCCATTAATGACCCCTTCTCTTGCTTCATAAATATAATCGAAGTTATTCAGTGGAGACTTTCCATCTTCTTGACATCAAATCTACCAACCCCCCTGTATATGCATGGTCTTCATTTCTGTTACAAAGGTTCACGTTGGGTGTCCTTCTCTCAGGATCCTCACCCACTCCTGCCTCTCCAAAAGTTTTGTACCTCTAGTTATTCTGTCTACCCTGTGTCACCAACAGATTATTTCCTTCAGTATAAAACAACAACAAAAAATATTTTAAGATCTCATATTTCCCCTACTATGCCATTTCTCTGCTCACCTCCACAGCATAACTTCTTTTAAAAAGTGTGTGTACACACACAATCATTTACTAGTTCTTCAAACCCTAAATCTAACTTCCCTTCCCAGTATTCACAGAAATTATTCTTGCTGACTCACCAACAATTTTCATGTTGGCAAATCCAGAGTATAATTCTGTTGCCATCTTATTTCTCTCCCAGTTTTCCTTATTTCAGTACATGACGTGGTCATTCATCCAATCACTTAAACCAGGACTTTAATATTTAACCTAAACTCCTCCTTTACATTCTCTTCTAAATCCAATTCATCAGCAAGCCCCAGATTTTCTACCTGTAGAAAAGCTTGTTTTTCTCCTTCTCCACCACAACTGCCCTGGTGCAGCCTCTGCATGTCTCACCCTGATCTCTGCAACAGCCTCCTGGAAGCTCACCTTATTTCCACTTATCTCCATAGCTGCCAGAGTGATCTTTCCAAACTGTCGGTCGGTCTATGTAGCTTTATGGGTAAAACGCTTTCAATGCTTTCTTTTAGTATTTAAAATGAAATTCTGATTCCAAATCATGGCCTAAAAGACCCATCTGATAGGAGTGTAAGGATAATATTTACCCCCACTCCACACATTTCATAGAGAGGAGAGAACTTTCTATCAACAGGAAGAAGACCATGGAAACATTCCTGGTCCCTCTCATTAACTGCCTCATCTACTCTCATCCCTTAGTACTCCTTTCTCTCCCTGAGGGGAAGAGAGAATCCTCTCATTGGTGAGAGGGGAAGAGAAATTGAGCATGTGTGTCTTATTGGGTTCTTTCCTTGAAAATGGCTTAATTCTCTGCCAGTGACTTACTAGCCTGCCCCTGGAAGGAAAGCCTGCAGTTCCGCTCTGCCTGGGACAATAGAGAGGTAAATGTATTCAGGGTGATGACAGTGGGAGGAGTATTTGGAAGCCCATTTGGCTGCAATTCTCCAATCAGCAGACTCAGTAATAAAGCTGCCATTTTGATCTTCATCTAGTAACTCTTGAGTCTCATCTCCCATCTTGGTTCCAAATTCTGGAGTAACACAGAGGACTTTTATTTACTGGCACCCACTAAAGTGCCAACTTTCACATAATTTGACTTTTCTCTGCCACCGCAACTTCATTTTTTGCCATTCTCCCCTGTTTACTAGGCTTCAATTACTCCGGCCTGCTTTAATTTCCTAAAACATAGCCACAATTTTCTTGTTGTGCTTTGCGCTTGCAGCTCCCTCTACCTAAAATGTTTCTCCTCTGGCTTTTTCATGATTGGCTCTTTCTTATCTTTGGGTCTTACATTAATTATCATGCTCAAAGGGTGGCCTTCACACACAAAATGTTACATAAAGGTGTTTCTCCACTGCCATTTTTGTCAATCACGGCTCCTTATCTGCTTTCCTCACAGTATTTATCATATCTTTATTTGTAGTTTGTTTGTTTATTTGCTTATTGATTGTCCTCCTCACTCAAATGTACTCAATGAGGGAACAGGTCTTTCTTGTTCACTATTGTATCTTCAGGACTTAAATCACAGTAGGTAGTAATAAGTAGTTGTTGAATAAATGAATGATTACATGGAACTAGCAATTTAGAATTAATACCTGGTTTTCTGACTTGATAATTACAAAGTATTTATTTCAATTCATTTCCATGTGAATTTTTCATGTTTCAGTAATTGTTTTGTTCCCACATAAGCAGAAATTGTTTCTCTTTTTGCCATAAAAACCAAGTTCCAAAAGTGCAAATGCCGTAGAGAGATGTTACTTCAAGAATGCAGGGGTCAAGTTAATGATGTTTATTGAAAATTACATCATGGAACCAGCCAGGCGCGGTGGCTCACACCTGTAATCCCAGCACTTTGAGAGGACAAGGCGGGTGGATCACGAGGTCAGGAGATGGAGACCATCCTGGCTAACACAGAGAAACCCCTTCTCTACTAAAAATACAAAAAATTAGCCAGGCGTGGTGGCGGGCGCCTGTAGTCCCAGCTACTCGGGAGGCTGAGGCAGCAGAATGGTGTGAACCCAGGAGGCAGAGCTTGCAGTGAGCCGAGATAGCACCATTACACTCCAGCCTGGGCGACAGAGCGAGACTCCACCTCAAAAAAAAAAAAAAACAAAAAATTACATCATGGAACTTTGATTAAGTTTCAGGAGGGAAAAAAGGACATAAAAAGGAAATTTATGGTACATCTGAAAAGACAAAAATGTATGTCAATGAAATGATTAAATCATACATATAAAATAAAAAGTAAGAAAAGTCTATTTTCCAGCATGATTAGAGAAAGTTAATACATTTATTAAATAAATTTACATATACATATCACATATGTATCATCTATACATATAGGTTCTTACTAATTTTAAAAAATTGGAATAAAATAAACTTGACATTAACTACTGAGACAGGCAAAAGAATGCCCTGCCCCACTCTCCTAAGATGTCCACATGCATGTCCTAATCCCCAGACCCTGTGAATATGGCACCTTATGTGGCAAAAGGGGTTTTGGAGATGTGATTAAATTAAGAAGCGTGGGATTATCCTGGATTATCCGGGCAGACTGGATATAATCACAAGGGTTTTCATTAGGGAAAGAAAGAGGCAGGAGGATGAAAGATGTGATTACAGCAGCAAAGGTTGAGTGATGTGACTGCTGGCTGGCAGGGGCCACAAACCAAGGAATGAGGGCAGCATCCAGAAGCTTGAAAGGGCAAGGAAACAGACTGTCCCCTAAAGCCTCCAGAAAGAAATACAGCCCTGCCCACACCTTGATTTTAGCCCAGTGAGATCCATTTTGGACTTCTGACCTCCAGAATTGTAAGACAATAAATTTGTATGGTTTGAAGCCACTAAATCTGGGGTAATTGATATGGCAGCCATAAGAAACTAACACAACTACATTAAGCAAACTTTATTCAGCCTTTAATATTTTAGAATCTTGCAGCCCCTCAAGATCGGCATGTGAGAATCAATTATTAGTGAACTGTAGGTAAGTAGACATGCTGGTTATTGAGGCTTTCCTATTCAGAAGGCTGAATAAGCCAGCTTTTATTATAGAACTTTTGTAAATACCAAGAATTGCTTAATCAGGACTGGTTGAGATTAAATTAGAAAATGTCTCCTAAAGGAAATGAGTCTTCAGGTGAACTTTCAAGGAGATAAAAGAGGATCCTTGAAAAGGAGATGGCAGAGACTTCAAGAGGATCTAGAAAAACCCTAAGAGAAGGGAGGATGAGTAATTACTGGCAACTCGAGCTACATAGAAGTATATGAAGGAAGCAAGATAATCTCATCAGAAACATCGTTTTGAATTACAGCTGACCCTTGAACAATTCAGGAGTTAGGAGCACTGTCCCCCAAATCCCCATCAAAAGTCTCTATATAACTTTAATTTGACTGCCTTAAAACCTAGCTACTAATAGCTTACTTGTTGACATTACTGATAACATAAGCAGTCAATTATCTCAGGTATATGTGGACCCATCCAGGTATATGTGGACCCATGACATTCAACCTTGTGTTGTTCAAGGATCAATTGTACTTTATTTTTGCCTAAAAGACCACTCATAAAACACATATACCTATTTCACAAGACTTTGGAAGAGATGGTTATAAGCCTATTGGCATAGATTACTTGACTAGCTTCCTATCACTCTGGAAAGGAAAGCACTTCTAGACAGAAACTGAACCAGACAGGTAACCATGCCAGTGTGGAGAAGTAGGTAAGTTATAGACTTCTCTTTCTCATGGAATGTCACAGTGGAGGTGAGCTTAGGGTTAAGGAACAAATTCACCCAAGGCAGGGTGATGAAATGGAAAGACCATGGACTTTGAAATCAAACAGACCTTGTTCAAATTCCAATTCTACATTGTATTGGTCAGGTGACATTAGACAAACGAATTAAAATATTTTGATTCTCCATGTCCTTATCTGTAACATAACTAACTTATGTGGTTAGTATTATATGAAATACTAATAATTATATGGAATACAAATAATTCCAAGAGCATCAAGGACAAATTTTAGTTACTTCCCAGTTTTCCCTCAGGCTAGTCCCAGAGAGAAAGAATGGAATGCTTTAAGATGTGGAGGATGTCTTCAGTGAGTCTGTGAGCATGTGTACATGTAGGTAGGTAGGGTGGAGGGTGGAGAGTGGAGATCATTTTAGGTGGTAGAACTAAATCCCTCTACTAGAACCAAACTCTATGAGAAATATATTTCTTACATTTGAAAGACAATTCATGGCTTCTCCCCTTGACATGCAGATACTATAATTCACGATTTTTACAAACAGGAAATATGGGAGCCAGAGACAAAGTCAACTGCTCAGAGAGACAAAATTAACTATCAGAGGTAGTTAGTGGTGGAATGAGACTCAGCATTCTCATTTCTTGGACTCCCTTTCTATGGTAATATTGTCAGCTATCAGGTTTCTTGATGTTCTCAAGCCACCTCTTATTTTACTTTGGCACAACTTTCTCATTATTATGAAAAGTAGAAGACATAATGATGTGAGAAAACTCAGTCAGGCTTCTTTAAAATGAGAGTTCATTCTTCTCTGAGTGGATCTCACTCTTAAGAACCATTTAAAAACTGAGGTGGGCAGAATGGCAAAGCCAATTGAAATTATTATAAAATAGGCTAAATATTATTTCAAGAATAACTGAACCTATGTCTTAAAAGTATCTTTGTTAAACATCCATTCATAAAATGATATGATATTAATGCAGAGATTCTTCTTATATCTGTAAATTTAAGAGAAGTAGGAACAAATATTAATAAATCATATTTTAAAGGCATGAACATTTTTATTGAAATAAAGGTATTTTATAACATTGTATTATTTTTTAATGTGTGGAGGTCACACAAAATATAAGGCATTTTCCCTCAACACATTTATCTGCATATTTTTTTTTGCTGTGAGGATCTGAGCCAAAGAGGCTTAGATTTTACTTCTGCTTTTTTTACTTATTAGTTATAGATCCTAAGTTAAATTATTTAACCTCTGAGCATTTTTCATTATTTGTAAAGCTGACATAATAATACCTCATACATAGCACTATTATATTATTTAATAGTAATATATGAGAATTTCTGACACATAAATAATTCCACACAACCTCTAATCAATCATCAAGCCAATACCACTTCCTTGATATTTCTCAAGATTGTCCATTATTGTCTAACCCCACTGCTTTTATTTTAGTTCAGCTCATACCTGGAATATTATGAGAGTCTCTTAATAGTCTCTCAGTCTCTGGTCTACACTCCATTCTTAGCCATTTTCTACTTTGCGACTACTAAAATATAAATTTAACAATGTCGCTTTTAAACTTAAAATCCTCTAATGGCTCCCTGATTCCCTTAGGATACTGTCCAATATCCTAAGTCAGATGTCAAGGCCCTACAAGATTTGATCCCTCTAACTTCTCCATTCTTGTCGCATGACCTTCTCTCTTTCCCTACATCTTTGCATGCTTCATGCTAGCCAGAAAACACTGCTTGCAGGTTTCTTAAAGATTCAGACTCTTGCCTCCAGGTCTGTGTACATTTAGCCCTCTGCATAGTTGACTCTATTCATTCTTCAGGTCTCTGCTCAGATAGCATCTTCTCCAGGAGGTTTTCTATGATAGAGTTAAATGTTATACCCATATTCTTCCACACTACCCCATTGTGGTAGTTGTAGCACTATATTTTAACTATTTACATGTCTGTCTCTATCACTATACTCTTTCAGGACCAAAAATTCACCCTGTATACCTAATTCCCAGACAGAATGATGCATCTCTTAATGTTACTTAAATTACAATAATTACGGCTGGGCACGGTGGCTCACACCTGTAATCCCAACACTTTGGGAGGCTGAGGCGGGCAGATCACAAGGTCAGTAGTTCGAGACCAGCCTGGCCAATATGGTGAAACTCCATCTCTACTAAAAATACAAAAATTAGCTGGGTGTGGTGGCGGGCGCCTGTAGCCCCAGCTACTCAGGAGGCTGAGGCAGAAGAATCCGTTGAACCCAGGAGGTGGAGGTTGCAGTGAGCCAAGATTGCCATTGCACTCCAGCCTGGGCAACAGAATGAAACTCCGTCTCAAAAAAAAAAAAAAAAAAAAGAAAAAAGAAAAAAAGAAAAAGAAAAAATTACAATAATTACTAAAATTATAATATTAAATAACAATAAAAATTACTTTCTTTGATGCACTATTTCTCCTCCTTCTATACTGTTTTCGCCATGCTATTCCATTTCTCAAGAAACTTTCAATGGTTTATTTCCTAACTTAACAAGTTTAAATTCCTCTGGCTGGCTTTTTCAGCCCCTCACAATCTGTTCTTCATACTAAATTTTTAATCTTATTTCTCAAGATGCCACAATAAGTATCCCTGCATCGTTTTTTTGTTTTTTGGTTTTTTTTTGTTTTTTTTTTTTTGAGACAGAGTCTCACTCCCTCACCCAGGCTGGAGTGCAGTGGTGTGATCTTGGCTCACCGCAACCTCCACCTCCTGGGTTAAAGTGATTCTCCTGCCTCAGTCTCCCAAGTAGCTGGGACCACAGGCACGCGCCACCACGCCCAGCTAATTTTTGTATTTTTAGTAGAGAAGAGGTTTCGCTATGTTGGCCAGGCTGGTCTTGAACTCCTGACTTCAAGTGATCCGCCTGCCTCGGCCTCCCAAAGTGCTGGGATTACAGGTGTGAGCAACCGCACCCGGCCAATATGTACCCTTTTTAATGGTCTTATGAATATGGCCTATAGGTGTCTTACCACATGCTGTTTCCCTGTCTTGGAGTAAATTCTTTTCTTCCCATCCTTTCTCGGAAAAATTCTATCCATTCTTCAGGTATGTTCTCCTTATACAGCTATCTTTAACTAGTAGGAAGAGACTTTTAAGAGAGATTGTTCTTACTCTCTTGTTTTGCATGATATGTACTTATAGCTATTTCTTTTTTTTTTTTTTTTTTTTTTTGAGACGAAGTCTTGCTCTGTCGCCCAGGCTGGAATGCACTGGCACGATCTCGGCTCACTGCAAGCTCTGCCTCCCGGGTTCACGCCATTCTCCTGCCTCAGCCTCCCGAGTAGCTGGGACTACAGGTGCCCGCCACCATGCCTGGTTTATTTTTGTATTTTTAGTAGAGACGGGGTTTCACCATGTTAGCCAGGATGGTCTCGATCTCCTGACCTCGTAATCCACCCGCTTCGGCCTCCCAAAGTGCTGGGATTACAGGCATGAGCCACCGCGCCTGGCCCTTATAGCTGTTCTTTTATAGCATCTAGCACAGTGCTGAGCTCAGAAGAAATGTTCAATAACTACATGACTGATTTTAAAGTGGTATATCCCATCTAAAAACTGTATGTAATCTAGGTCTGTTGTTGCTTGAAACATGTAGACATTAGTTTGAGGTGACAGCCTATGAAAATAATTTAGATTTTACAACATTTAGAAAATGGCTAAAATATTAAATAAATGGAGAGCGGGGGAGAAAGAGGTTACATTGAGGTTAAGACATTTCAGTTGTTCAACCTGGACTAACTTGATCTCACCAATGAAGTCTCTGAAAAATAAACAGTTTAGGCAGAAGGCTGTTCACTGCCAAATCATTTTCTATCACCGCAAAGTTCAATTAACTACTCCAGTGAAATTCCCTTAAATGATATTCAGAACATCATGGTGAACAGGAGGCAATCAGTTCCCTATTATACTTTTAAAGAACATTCTCTCCTCTCTTTCCACTTCTTGTTGTGTTGCCCCTCCCAATAGATTTCCTCTAAAGAATTTAAATCACCTTCTAACCTCTTTAAGCTTACATGCATCAATGAGGTAAGTTATAAGTCTTGCCAAAATGTACTGCTTCTGATCTTTTCTAAAAGACATTTTCCTTGATACTCCCCCATAACAGCTATTTAGTAATCATAAACCAATTTTCAACAGAAATTGTTATTCAAATAAATCCGTGATACTTTATAAATATGACATTTCCTAGATTGAAGTTGAAAACCTTTGCACTGGGCCAGAACTTCCTTTGTTTTGTAGCAGGCCTGATAAAATCCTGACCATTGCCTAACATACAGTATGGGTATTAGTAGATCGATTTTGGAAGAGTCTCTTGACATCAGGGATGTCAAGAGATGTAGATATAAGGTGTTGCTATCTTGTACTGGCTGCTCTCAGAATCCTGACCTCAAGTGATCCTCCCTCCTCGGCCTCCCTAAGTGCTGGAATTATAGGTGTGAGCCACCATACCTAGCAAATTTTTATTAAGCACTTGCTATGTGCTAGCACTATTTAGGCACGGGGGTTATAATGGTAAATACAGCAGACAAAAATTATTTCCCTAGGAGAACTTACATTTAAATGTGGGAGACAGTCCAAAAGCAAAATATATATTATCTTATTGATAACTGCTAAGGAAAAAAAATAAAGTATAGAAGTGGGGATATGAAATGGGAAGGAGTGTTGAAATTTTAGATAAGATAACTAGGGAAGACATCATGCAGGTAACTTTTGAATAAAGACATAAAGGAAGAAAGTAAAGATATGAGACAGAAACATTATATTCTTATAATAGAACAAGAAAGGAGAGGGGAAGGGAGGTGGCATTGTGTGTGCAAGGAGTAGGCAATATACCAGTCTGGAAGTAATTCACTTCTGCATATAACAATCAGTATTGGTTCTCACTATGGTTACAACACCGGTGCATTAGGACTCAGTATATGCACTAAGCCTGAACAATCCTTTGGTTTTAATTGGCAGGAAGGCTAAGGAGATGGCTTGTAGATTGAAGTAGAACAAAAAAGGCACTTTAACTAGTGTCAGATGGGAAATGAGAAAGCCACTTCAGCTGCTTTTGCTAATTTCAACGCTTACATCCAAATAAATGATAGAAGATACTCCATGAAATTATTATAATATGTAATTAGATAAGGAAGTAGGAAAAATAAAGCAAGTTAACTTGACAATCTGGAAGAGATTAATGAGTGTTAAGGAGAGATGAACAAAAAATGATGAGCAGCAATGCAAAGGCCCAGGCTGGTCTTCTGGAGGAGTAATAAAATTAATGTGTAACATGGCCGATGTGGGGGCAGTGAGGGGCCCTGAGGGTGGGGTCTGCATTGGTGTATTATGGGTTGAATTGTGTACCCCTCCCGGATTCTTTTTTTTTATTTTTATTTTTTTTGAGACAGGGTCTTGCTCTGTGGCCCAGGCTGGAGTGCAGTGGTGCAATCTCAGCTCACTGCAACCTCCGCCTCCCGGGTTCAAGCGATTCTCCTGCCTCAGCCTCCCAAGTAGCTGGGATTACAGACACGTGCCACCATGCCCAGCTAATTTATTTATTTTATTTATTTTTTAGTAGAAATAGGGTTTTGCCATGTTGGCCAGGCTGATCTCCAGCTCCTGACTTAAGTGATCTGCCCTCCTGAGCCTCCCAAAGTGTTAGGATTACAGGCGTGAGCCACTGTGCCTGGCCCTGGCTAATTTTTTGTATTTTTAGTTAGAGATGGGGTTTCGTCATGTTGGCCAGGCTGGCCCTATTCATATGTAGAAGTCCTAACCCTTAGTCCCTTAGAATGTGACCTGATTTGGAAATAGGGTCATTGCAGATATAATTAACGTCCATGAGGTCATACTGGAGGATGGTTCGCCCCTAATCCGTTATGACTGCTGTTCTTATTAAAAAGGGAAATTTGAACACACAAGCACACTGGGAGAACAGCCATGTTCAGATTGGAGTTACGCTACCATATGCCAAGAAACTACCAGAAGCTAGGAGAGGCATGGACGAGATCCCTCCCCAGTGCCCTCAGAGGGAGTACAGCCCTGCCTACACCTTGATTTCAAACTTCTGGCCTCCAGAATTGTGAGATAATAATTTGTTGTTTTAAGTCACCCAATTTGTGGTATGTTACGGCAGCCCTAGGGAACTAATGTAGTGCGATTATTTTAAGAGGCAAACAAGAAGAACATCCTAAGAGTGAGGTGCCTGATAGTCTCATGCATCAGAAAAGTCCCATATATTTGACTTCAGCAGTTAAATTGTATTTTCCTGTTTTACCAAACCTTTTTAATTATCGTTTCTTGCTGTAGAAAAATCACATAAAATCTGCTCTTTGCTTAACAAATTACAGGGTCGCTTCTGATTTGTGTGCTCGAAATACTAGTCACCAAGCAGAAACTGATGACTGTGAGAATAGGCGACTAATTAACAAACAAACAAAAAAAGCCCTTTCTCAACATTGGATTGACCGAGTGAAAGTTGACAGGGGAAAGACACCTCGATTCAGCCATCTTTCTCCAACAGGTTGTACTGCTGACTGCACAGTGTCCCCTGAAGGACTCCGGTCGCTGTAGCCTTGGAGAGCGACCAGATTCCTCACCCCACTCAGGAGGAGCCAGGGCAAGATTAGGGTGCAGAGAAATCGGTTTCCTCCAGCCTCCTACCCCAGGGAAGAGGACCGAAGCCAGCCCCGGCCTCACGTGCATGCCCAGTCGGGAGGACGCCCTCAGTGGGAGAGCCCTGCTCAGGTTCTCCCCGAGGCCGAGGTGGTGGTGGGAGCGGGCGGTGGCCCCGGGATCAAAGGACCTCCGCCGGGTTAGCTTTGGCAGTGCCGCAGCCAACCCAGCAGGACGCTTATTTTCAAGCCTGGGGAACGTAGTTCCTCCCGCTTTCACAGCAGGATGGAGCCCGACGGCACCCCGGTTAAAGGGCCTTTCCAGAGCCCTCCGGGGAACGGAAGGCCGCGCTCCTCCGGGAGGGAGAACGACACACTCTTCGAGGAAATCCTGGGGCGGGCGCTCTCCTCGCTGCCGGGACCTTTGTTTCTAAGCTGGCCACAGCTAGAGCAGCCTTAAGTGTCCCAATGACACGCCTGCTATCGAGCGCCCTCCCGGCGGCCCCTCCTCAGCCAGCTGCCCAGCGGGCGTCCTCAGGTGTCCCCAAGAGGCGCAGGCCTAGTCGCCTACACGTCCTTTCCAACTTCGTCAGCTCTGGCTTCCCACCACCCCTCCCGGCTCTGCGGCGGCCCAGCCTCTTCTCCGGTTAATTCCGGCCTGTGCGGCCCGGTCGTCCCGTAAAGAAGGCAAGCCCGGGTTCCGGGTGAGGGGTTGGTGGGTCAGGGTGGGAAAGCAAGGCAGCGGTGAGTCCTCTGCTAGCAGATCGGGCTCAATATCCCCATTCCCTGTTTTCTCCGGGCCCGCCCTCCGCCTCTCAGGCGGCCGCCATGAAGATCCTCTGCCGCGGCTGCAGCCGGTCTGCAAACACACGCCCACCCGCACGCTTAGCCTCGCTCGCCACAGAGGGAGGGGTGGAAAAGGCACTGAGCATGCTCGGTGGGGAGGGCGGGGCGCTCGTGGGCTGCGAGTCGGGGCCGGAGCTCTTCAGGCCGGCTCCCGCGCCTCCGCCGCCCGCCCGCTCGGAGCCGCGCCCGCCGCAGGCTGCGCCCGCCAGTCCCGCCCCGCCCCGCCCCGCCCCGCCCCCCGCCGCTCGTCCCCGCCGCGGCCGCGCCGCCTGCAGCAGCACCAGCTGCTCCTCCCCGGCGGCCGCCCCCCGCGGGTCCCTCCCTGGCTGCGGGAGAGACGGAGGTAGAGGGAGGACACAGAGCCGCGCCGCCCGCACCACAGACCTTCGCCTCGCCCCGCCGGTTCCTCACCCTCGGGGAGCAACATGGGTAAGTCATCCTTCCTCCGCCGTCATCGCCTGACATTTTTTTCTTTCTCGGCGTGCTGCAGGGTGGGAAGCATTTCTCGCGCAAAGTTGCCGGATTTCTCCAGTCCCCGGGTGTGAGACGGTGGCTGTTCCTCCGGGGAGAGTCGGCGCACGCGGAACGCACGCCGGGTGCCGGGGCTGGGAGGGTCCCGAGCGCGGGCTGGGGTGGGGTCGGCCGCGGGCCGGACCGCCGCCCGGCTCCCCGGCACCTCGCAGCCTCGCCTCCCCTCCTCCATTCTTCCTGCCGGTGCCCGGGCACCACGGAGCCTGCCTCGCGGGCTCGCATCTGCAGCTCCATCCCCGTTTCTCCAGAGGCCGCCCGCTTCCTTTTCCCCCGCGTGTACTGAGCTCGAGGCTCGGGTCCGACCACTACCACTTCGTGTAACTTCCTTCTCTGTCAGTGCGACCTTTCCCCGTCGTGGAGACTCCTCATCCCGGGCGGGGAAGTGGAAGCAAGTAGTTTGTGAGGGAGATCTTACAACCTGCACGGAAATTATTTTCCAAGGGGGAGAGCGGACAGCCTCATAGGTTGAAAGGATGACTTGTCAGAGGCCACGAGGAACGTGAGGCAGGATAGAGCCGCTAGCTGTTGAATTAGTGCTGGGTGACTACAGTGTGCAATATTCCCGTGCCCAGCCTATTTTCTGGATTCCTTCGTCCGTCTTCTGTAGCAGGAAACTGCGCCCTGTAACGTTGTTACCGAACTTACATGGTAGTTATTCTTTCCCAGCTTCCTCCTGTCTAATCTGCATAATCTGATTTTAGTTCCTTTGTATTTATAGTTAATCTGAAGAGATTGGTTTGGATGAGAGATTTAAGAGCAAATATGTTTTATAAAACGATATATACATTTGACCTAATTTTTTTACATCATCTATTGCTTAACTGTTACATTCAGTAATCACAGAAACGTCTGATGAATGCTGTCATGTAATTAAGAGCTCAAAGTTTCTTTTAATAGTAGCGACTTGTACTAAGTTCCCCAGTTTGCTTCCACTCCTGTCTGTCATAATTTCCTCTTTTTAAAATTTGCTCCCTTGGCATCTGTCAGCTGGGACTTTTCCCACCCCTTCTGTGCGAGTTATTTAAAGCTTGAGATGAATGTGGTCCTTTCATCTGTTAATACAGTGCTCAACACGTTCAGAGTTAGGTGGTGCAACTCAGAATCTTCAAGAAGTATCTAAACCTGGGAATGGTGTCCATAGAGTTTTCTGGAACAGCAAATGCTTCAGGCTTTGATCCCGACCTTTGGCCATATATCTGGAAGAGGCCAGGGTTGACGGAGGAGGTGGTATGAATCAAAAAAGGTCTAGGGCTCTGAATTTTATTTTCAGTTGTTTTTTCTTTTTAACGTGAGTACTCGATATGCTGAACAAATTTCTGTAAAAATTGGGTGGCCCATTTATGCGTGTCTGCCTTTCTCTTAAAGTAGATTTTTAAATAGGTATTATATCAGATTATTGGACAAGCTGTATATTTCCGTCGAACATACACACGTTTATGTGTGTTCCCTTTGAACATACACAGATAAAATACACTTTGAAATAAAATTCCTTTGAACATACATACACAGATAAGTGTGTGTATGTTCAAAGGAAATATACAGTATGTCCAATAACCCTATCTGATATTGGACTGTAAGTTCAAGTTTGGCTTGCAAAATATATTTTCCCATGTTTCCAGGTGAGCCTTAAACAATCCATTTAACATTTTAGCTTACATGTTAAATCCGTACTTTTTCAGTGGAAAAAATCCAATTCCGTTACAACACTGGTGAATAAAAATACCTAAAAGAAATTATCTACTTAAAAATAATCTTCAAAATCTTGAGTGCTATTGCTTGATTTTTAAAAAGGGCCAAATAGAAACCTATCTCTCATTTTGAAGCCATCTCTGATACTCTTTGGTTAATCTGTCTCTTCATAAGCACTGTTTGTACCTTGTTAGAAGCTTTTTAGCACTTACGTAATCTACCATATAATAAAGTTGTTTATGTGTGTGCTGTGCATTTAATCATGAGTCCCAGAAGATGAAAAGTGTCTTATTATTTTTTGTGTTCCCCACAGTGCTTTTCAAATAGAAATTCAGTAAATCTTTGGCAAATTGTTGAACTTAAAGCCACCTATTATTTTCAACTTTTGAACCTGAAGATATAGTCTTCATCTGAACAAACATTTGGGTTGGTACATATTATCTAGTTGGGGGATAAGCAGAAACAGAAAGGTATAATTGTACCATGCCTCCCAGTACACTGTAGGTTGGTTTTGAGTCAACCTCAGGCAATCTGTTTCCTTCTAAACTCTCTTCAATGGTAAGGCAGTTTCATGTATGATCAGTAGGTACATATGATAATTTAAAATTGAAACCTTGGGGAACAGTTTTATATCTGGGCCAAGGAAGTTAGTATAACAATTCATGTACACATAAGAAGGTAGAAGGTATACTGGTTAATGATGAGGGGAGGGAGAAGTGCTTTTTAATTTGTCTCAAGAAATAAATAAGGTTGATTTTTAAAGATAGTCTCAGCCGGGCGCGCACTTTGGGAGGCCGAGGCGGGCGGATCACCTGAGGTCAGGAGTTGGAGACCAGCCTGACTAACATGGTAAAACCCTGTCTCTACTAAAAATACAAAAAAACAATTAGCCGGGTGTGGTGGCGGGCGCCTGTAATCCCAGCTGTTTGGGAGGCTGAGGCAGGAGAATCACTTGAACCCGGGAGGCGGAGTTTGCAGTGAGCCGAGATCATGCCATTGCACTCCAGCCTGGGCAACAAGAGGGAAACTCTGTCTCAAAAAAAATATATATATATATTCTCATGGCAATAATTTCCTACACAAGAGAGTGAAAGAAAAGTCCTATATAACTTTATGGCCATAGCTACTATTTTATGTATATGTCATATTTCAGATTCAACATACATTTAGTGTTTGTTGGATATCAACTGTGCAGTGTACTGTACTACAGTGTACTGGGAGGACAAAGATAAAAAGATATTCATGTTTCACATTTATAATCTTAGCAGGAACAATATGACACATACACAAATTATAATAGAAGTAAAAGTATAAGTTATATAAAAGACCTTTACATATATTATAGATTCAGAGAATGGAGAGAACGTTTTAGAGAAATGGTGTTATTTGAACCAAAGGTGGGTTAAACTTCTTAAAGGTAGAAATGAGACTGTTAATCAGAATGGAGTTGGTCTGGGGTTGGAAGAGAAATGACATAAATGAAGATAGATAGGAAACATTTTATGAATTTCCAGGATATGATTAAACAGCATTGTTTGGCTAGAGCAAAAGGTAAGGAAATAGTGGGTAACAGACATGAAAAAGTAGTACAGTAATAGCTAATGACCAGATAATGTAGGATCTAAAATGCCAAGCTGAAGAATTTTAATCTGACTTACCTATTGAGAGACCACTAAACATTTTTATGTAGTTAAGTGATGGATCACATCTGTGGTATAGGAAAATTTGTCAGTTGAGTGCAGGATCGATTAGATGAGAAACTACAGAACACTTCAGAAGATTGTTGTTGGAGTTTGGACGAAAATGTTTAATGGCTTGAACCAGGTTATGGCAACGGGAATAGAATATTGCAAATAAAGAATAGGATTTACTTGGCAACCCATTGAGTATGGAATTGAGAGTCACAGGTTTTAGCCTGGGTGATAATGAGGATACGAGAATCTCCTGATACATATTCAGTTAACAGGAAGAGGAAACTTAGATACTCAATTTTGGACCTATTGCATTAGACTTTTTGGTCTGTCCTTTAGTCTCTGCTCCTTGATAACAAGGACGTTGTCATATTAGGATTTGAATACATTTCTAACACTAGTGTCTGGCACATAGTAGCTACATAGAAAAATTGTGTTGACTGACTGAAACTAGATAAAAAATAGTTGACAAACATTTATTTTAACTTTCGAGAGTACAATTTGAATTAGAGATCTGGAAGTTATCCACAAATATCCTGAGGTGATATTTGAAGTTAGATCAGAGGACAAGAGTCAACAAAGAAAAAGAGGAAAATTGTTCATGGTAAGAATCTTGAGGAATGGGGTTCCTTAAGTTTTCCGTAGTTAGGGAAAAAGGAATGGTATGATTTCACACTGAAAAACACAGAAGTCAGAGTGAAAGACTAGAATTGGTATATGGTTGGTTTTAAGAAAGAGTGAATAGTTAATAAGGTCTGTTTTTTCAGAACAGTCAGGAGGGTGATAGGGACTGAGAACAGGCTCTAAGTGCTTTGGTTAGGATATTACCCAGTATATTTTTCTAAAAAGCCACTTTAAGAGGTTTAGTAGATATGGAGGTCAGTTGTAAAGGCTAAGTGAATAATAAGTGGAAACAGTTCACTAGGTATAGTCATGCTGTATTTCTCACCTTGTTTAAAGATCTGTGAGAAAACATAGATTTTTAAAAATATTTTTAACTCACTCTGCATGACAGATATTACATTTTAGAAAATATTTTAAAATTTTAAATGTATTTTAATTTACAAATTAAAAAAATTATTTTAATGTTACATTTTACATGGAAGGACATGTGCTGTTTTCATGTCTAAGGATAATTTTTAATTTCACCATAGTGCCTCACATTTCTCTGACATTTCATTTTTAATGTCTTTGTGACTTAGTATAGTACAATTTTTATTTTTATAATGTCTGTCATGCAGAGTGAGTCTAGAATGATTTTATAATTTTGCATGGCATTTTGCCTAAACAATACTCTTTACTGATGAATGGTTTTATCACTTTTACTCTTAGACTTTGTGAATTTGAGACTTCTTTAGATTATAGGTATGCTTCTAATTATATTTTTAATTCCTGGAGTTGTAGTTTTCTCTGTAGATAGGTATCAAACTTATAGTCATTTTATTTTGCCTGTATTTCCAAGTCCAGGAATGGTTTTCATAGCTAAATAATAAATACTAATTTTGCCTGATCTTTGCAAGTCTAGGCAGGGTGATAAAATATTTTTGAAAGCTGGTAATTACTAAAATTTATGATTTCAAAAAAGCATAGATGCTAGCTTGGTAAATTTAAAAATTTTTCTTATGTTGGCATTATATCTGTTTTGTATATGTCTTTTTTCATATGGGAGAAAGGTTGAATTCACTATCCTTGGTAGTCATATTCTGAAGTCTGTACTACTACTATTTGAAAAATTATAATAGCCTTAACTCTTTTTAAGAACCAAAATGATTTTGCTTTCATAGTGGAATCTTGGAATTTCTAGGTGACTTTGGGGAAATAGTGTGGATGCTCTCCAGAAATTCCTGATTGAACCTGAGATTGAACATAGCAATTCTGGAGTTATTGGTGGCACTAACAACAGCCATCAGAATTACCTAAATTTTAATATCCAGTCATGAACATCAGGAGGAATGAAGGAGGAAGATTCAGTCCTTTGGGAACCTGATGTAATTTTAGATAGCCAAATGTTTGGATAACTGATAAGGAAAAAGTTTAATTTAAAATACATGTTGATGTTGAGTTCAGTTTGCCAGTATTTTGTTGAGGATTTTTCTATTTATGTTTATTAAGGATATTAGCTTGTAGTTTCTTTTCTTGTAGTATCATTGTCTGGCTTTGGTATCAGGGTAATGCTGGCCTCATTAAATGAGTTTGGAAGTATTTCCCTTCATTGTTTGGAAAGAGTTTGAGGAGGATTGGTATTAGTTCCTTTTTTAAAATAATTTCAACTTTTAGTTTAGGTTCAGAGGGTACATGTGCATGTTTTTTACATGGGCATGTTATGTGACACTTTGGAGTATGAATAATCCCATCACCCAGGGGTTTGGAGTATGAATAATCCCATCACCCAGGTAGTGTGCATGGTACCCAGTGGGTAGTTTTTCAGCCCTTGCCTCCCTCCATTTGTCCCCCTCTAGTAGTCCCCAGTATCTGTTGTTCCCATCTTTATGTCCATATGTACACCCAGTGCTTAGCTTCCGCTTATAAATGAGAACATGTGGTATTTGGATTTCTTGTTTCTATGTTAATTTGCTTAGGATAGTGGCCTCCAGCTCCATCCATGTTGCTGCAAAGGACATGATTTCATTCTTTTTTGTGGGTGCATAGTATTCCATGGTATATATGTGTCACATTTTCTTTATCCAATCCACTATTGATAGGCACCTGGGTTGTTTTCATGTCTTTGTTATTGTGAATAGTGCTGCGATGAAGATCCAAGAGCATGTGCCTTTTTGGTAGCATGATTTATTTTTCTCTGGAAATATACCCAGTAATGGGATGGCTGGGTCAAATGGTAGTTCTGTTTTAAGTTCGTCGAGAAGTCTCCAAATTGCGTTCCACAGTGTCTGAACTAATTTATATTTCCACTAACAGTGTAAAAACATTCTCTTTTCTCCACAGCCTTACAGCATCTGTTTTTTGTTTGTTTGTTTTTACTTTTTAATAATAGCCATTCTGACTGGTGTGAAATGGTGTCTCATTGTGGTTTGATTTGCAGTCTCATCACATTAAGAGGATCATACGTCATGATCAAGTGGGATTTATCCCTGGGATGCAAGAATGGTTGAACATACACAAATCAATAAATGTGATACACCACGTTAACAGAATGAAGAACAAAAATCATACGATCATCTCAGTTGATGCAGAAAAAGCATTTGACAAAATTCAACATACTTTCATTTTTAAAACTCTCAACAAATTTGGTGTAGAATGAATATGCCTAAACATAGTAAAGGTCCTATATGACAAGCCCATAGCTAACATCATACTTAATGGTGAAAATCTGAAAAGTTTATCTCAGATTGAGAAAAAAAACAAGGATGCCCACTCTTGCCACTGCTATTTAAGATAGTACTAGAAGTCCTAGCAGAGCAAATAGACAAGAAAAAGAAATTAAAAAGCATTCAAATTGGAGAGTAAAATGATCTGTTTAAAGATAGCATGGTCTTATACATAGAAAGCCTTAAAGACTCCTTGAAAAAAAAGACAAAAACTATTAGTCCTAATAAATGAATTCAGTAAAGTTTCAGGATACAAAATCAGCATAGAAAAATCAGAAGCATTTCTATACACTAACAGCAAACTTTCTGAGGATGTAATCAAGAAAACAATCCTATTTACAGTAGCTGCAAAAATATAAAATATTTAGGAATAGATTTAACCAAGAAGGTGAAAGATCTCTATGCTGAAAACTGTAAGACATTGATGAAAGAATTTGAAAAATTAACAGATATCCCATATTCATAAATTGGAAGAATTAATATTGTTACAATGTTCATAGTACTGAAAGTGATCTACAGATTCAATGTAATCCCTATCAAAATTCCAGTGAAACTTTTCACAGAAATAGCAAAACAATTCTAAAATTTGTATGGAACCACAAAAGATCTGAATAGCCAGAATAATCTTGAGCAAGAAGAACAAGGCCAGGGGCATCACACTACATGCTTCAAGTCATGTTACAAAGCTGTAGTGATCAAAACAGTATGGTACTGGCATAAAAGCAGACACATAGATCAATGGAACAGAATAGAGAGGCCAGAAATAAACCCAAGAATTTACAGTCAATTGATCTTCAAAAAAAAAAAAAAAAAAAAAAGCCAAGGAAACACAATGGGGACAGGACAATCTCTTCAATAAACACTGTTGTTAAAACTAGATACCCACATACTGAAGAATGACATTGGATCCTTATTCATCCCATATACAAAAATCAGCTCAAAATGGGTCAGAGATTTAAACAAAAGATTTGAATTTGAAAAGCATAAGATGCGCGCAAGAAAATACTGGAGAGAAGCTCCATAAGATTGGTGTTGGCAATGATTTTTTGTTTATGGCACCAAAAGCACAGGCAACAAAAGCAAAAATAAACAAATGGGACTTCATCAAATTAATAAGTTTCTCTGTAGCAAAGGAAACAACAAAATGAAAAGGCAGCTTACATAATGAGGGGAAATATTTGCAAGCCGTATATCCGATTAGGGGTTAACACGTAAAAATAATCAGGAACTCATACAACTCAGTAGCTAAAATAAAATAAAAATACAGGTTGAGGATCCCTAATTCAAAATCTGAAATGCTTCAAAATCTGAAACTTTTTGAATGCTGACATGACACTCAAAGGAAATGCACATTGCAGCATTTGGATTTTTGGTTTCAGATTTTTGGATTAGGGATGTTAAACCAGTTAGTATCATGCATGTATTCCAAAATCTGAATAATTTCAAAATCTGAAACACTTCTGGTCTAAAGCATTTTGCATAAGGGATACTCAATCTGTATTTACCTAGATGTAAATAATAAATGAATATATTAGAATAGGTTATTGTCTCAGTCCATTTTGTGCTGCTATGACAGAATACTGCAGACTGGGTAATATATAAAGAACAGAAATTTATTCTATCAGAGTTCTGGAGTCTGGTAACTACAAGATCAAAGTGCCTGCAGGTTTGGTCTTTGGTTTCAAGATGAGGCCTAGTTGCTGTGTCCTCCAAAGAGGAGAAACCTTGTGCCCTCACACAACAGAAAAGCAAAAGAGAAAATCCACTCTGGTAAGCTCTTTTTATAATGCCATTAATCTATTTATGAGGGCAGAGCCATCATAACCTAAACACCTCCCATTACCTTCCAGTACTGTTGTGTTTAAGTTTCAACATGAGTTTTGGAGGGGACAAAAACATTCAAACCATATAGTTATAAAGACTATTTCAGTTATAAAAGCCTGTGATTCCTTGAAACTGAAGTTTGAAATATACTCCATATCATTGGTATCTTAAATATAACCTCTATATAACTTGTTTTTCTTTAGTGTTCAAATGGTAATGTATACTTGAGGTAGCAACTTAAGGGTTTGAACCAACTTTAGCTTTGTCTGAATAAATGACCTAAAAAAACATTTCTCAAGCTGGCTAAGATATGGATGCTGGATTCAAATTGCAGGTGAAATAATTCTCTCAGTGCTTCTATTTATATAGCTTTTGTAACTAGAAGCATTTCAGGAGTTAAAACCAAGGACTAGGTTAGTGATAAATGGAAGTGGTTAAATTGAGCTCTTAGCTATGATTGGCTGTACAGTTGACCGTTGAATAACATGGATTTGAACAGCGCAGTTCCACTTCCATGTGGATTTTTTTTTTTCAATAAAAGCTATACCAAGTGAGTTGCCTCTCCTGCCTCCCCTTTTACCTCCTCCACCTCTGCCACACCTGAGACAGCTAGATGAACCCCTCCTCTTCTCAGCCTACTCAAGAGTGACTATAATAAGGATGAAGACCTTTATGATGACCCACTTCCCATGTAATGAACAGTAAATACATTTTCTCTTCCTTCCATTTTCTTTTCTCTAGCTTACCTTATTGTAACAATATGGTATTTGATGCATATGGTATATGATGCATATAACATACATAATATGTGTTAATTGACTGTTTATGTTATTGGTAAGGCTTCTGGTCAGCATTAGGCTATTAAGGTTTTAGGGAGTTAAAAGTTATGTGTGGATTTTTGACTGAGTGAGAGGGGGATTGGTACCCCTAGTGCCTGCATTGTTCAAGGGTCAACAGTACTTGTTAATTCCAAAGTCCTTTTTGTTCACAAAATGACTTTAGGTACTTATTGGTACTGAAATATATTTATTAATATCTGGGCTACATCTTTGTATTTAGCAGATTAGTAGACATCTCTACTAATTAAACTCATTGAGTTCAAAATAAAACTCATTTTATAATTTTTAATAATGATAATTAGAGGGGTGCTGGTAAATGTTTAACTAAACGCCTTTCTCCAAAATAGCCCTGATTTGTGATGGCTGTCAATTTCCTGTGGTGTAAATACTCCCCCCATGGCTCATTTCAAGCCGCTAAAATAGTGTCACTGAATGCAGAGTTGAGAAGAGATAAGAGGTAGCACATCATTATATACCATATCCACCATACAGACATAATCTCATTAGCACATATAATAGTAAAATGTAAAGTAAGTAGTGATGGTTTTGAGTGTTAATTCTTCTGTTTTAGTATAACTCATTTATGTATATATAATTATGTTTTAATAACTGCCTCATAAAAATCCTGAAAATTTAATAATTATATCTCATGGGGTAGTATAGGGGGCTGTATACCATTGAGTTCATAATTACCATTTATTAAGAATGATTGATGTGAGTTATGCTACACTTTACATATTTTTAAAACTGAATTTTAATCCTTTCAACAATTCTATGAAGTAGGTGACACTGTCTCCATTTTACTAAATCAAAGAATTAAATAATTTATCCAAGGGGACAACTAACACTCCAACATCCTGATTTAGAGCAATGGTTTTCAAACTTCAGCTTGCATAGAATCACTTGAAGAGCTTGTTTTTAAAAAATACTGGGCCCACCTTCAGAAGTTCTGGTTCAATAGATGTGGGGTGGGCTGAGAATTTGCATTGTCAAGACCTTCCCAGGTGATGCCACACTGGGAACAGCACCACCATCAAGCATAGGCTGACAAGCTTTTTCCATAAAGGACCAGATGATAAATATTTCAGGCTTTGTAGGCCATGAGGCGGAATCAAAGATACTACATATTGGGTTAGTGTGTAAGTAATTGTGGTTTCAGACTCTGCATTTTAAATAATTATTACTAGGCGCAAACACATCTTTATTAATCAAAATAGGAACATTAAAATCAACACATTTTTGCCAATGGGAAGTAAGTTTATTCCTGTAGCATTAAAATCCATGCTTCGGGATTTATCAAACACTTGGAAAGCATTTTCTGCATCCTGCTGGTTGTGGAAGCATTTTCCCTCCTAAAAGTTGTCGAGATGCTTGAAGAAGTGGTAGTCAGTTGGTGAGAGGTCAAGTGAATATGGCAGGTGAGGCAAAACTTCATAGCTCGGTTCGTTCAACTTTTGAAGCGTTGGTTGTGCGATCTGTGGTCGGACGTTGTCATGGAGAAGAATTGGGCCCTTTCTGTTGACCAGTGCCAGCTGCAGACAGTACAGTTTTCAGTGCATCTCATCAATTTGCTGAGCATACTTCTCAGATTTAATGGTTTCACCGGGATTCAGAAAGCTGTAGTGGATCAGCAGCAGACCACCAGACAGTGACCATGACCTTTTTTTGGTGCAAGTTTGGCTTTGGGAAGTGCTTTGGAGCTTCTTGGTCCAATCACTGAACTGGTCATCTCCAGTTGTATAAAATCCACTTTTCAGTTGCCATATAAAATCCACTTCTTGTTGCACGTCACAATCTGATCGAGAAATGGTTCATTGTTGTTGCGTAGGATGAGAGAAGACAACGCTTTAAAACAACGATTTTTTTCTGATTTTCGCTGAGCTCATAAGGCACCCACCTATCGAGCTTTTTCACCTTTCCAATTTGCTGCAAATGCTGAACTACCAGAGAATGGTCGACATTGAGTTCTTCGGCAACTTCTCGTGTAGTTGTAAGAGGATCAGCTTTGATGATTGCTCTCAATTGGTCATTGTCGACTTCTCATCTTCCACTACCCTCCTCATCTAGGCTCTCGTCTCCTTTGCAAAACTTCTTGAGCCACCACTGCACTGTATGTTCATTAGCAGTTCCTGGGCCAAGTGCATTGTTGATGTTGCTAGTTGTCTCCGCTGCTTTACGACCCATTTTGAACTCAGAAATAAGAAAATCACTCGTAAAGAGAACTGTGCATTAAAATGATGTATAACATAACCACATTTATTTAAGAATGTATTCGAGCATCTAACAGCAAATTTCAACAATGCAAAAACTGCAGTTATGTTGCGCCAGCCTAATAGAAAAGGGAAAAATATATATGAGAGAACATAAATGTCCATCATTTTTTTTACTACATTTGAAATATGATAACATTAATTGAACACAATTTATTGTGATTAAAAAATGAAAAGACTGGAGTTCTTTTTTTTTAATTTATATTTTTTATTTTAAAGTTCTTTTGGGATAACATTTCACTTATTAAGATTCAAAGTTATCCTCTTATCAGAATTTATTGTAGATGTTCATCTGTTAATGCAGACCTGTAATGCAGTTTTACAAATTTCATCTTTGAGGCATTTTTTTCCCCACACAAATAAGTACTGCCAATTGTATATGATCTTAATGAGCATATTCATTGTATGGAAGGCACTAATAGAATTCTCTCAGTACAGCTGTAATTGTTGGCAAAAAGCATTGTTTTGTTTTGTTTTTTTTCCCAAGACTTTTCTTGATATTTGCTATTTAGTATGCAATTACATTGCAGATTAACCACTTCCAATTTAAGGTTAGGTGGGAGCTCCTCAATTGCATGGTTAAATGGATTTTGAAATATAGAAATTTCCTTTGCACTTGCAGTGAGGTCTGAAAAGCACTGCAGGAACTATAGTTTGAACTTGCAAAATATATCTATTGCAAATTTGTGTATGGAGGGAGATCTTTTTATTTTAACATTTGACAACACAGGAAGTATATAAAGCCATTATTACTTGTAATTGGAACAGTGTTGTCAAAATGACTTTATTGCAGTATTTTCTCACGTAAGCACTGCTTTGCCTTGACTTTTAAGTCAGATTCATTAGGAAACTGTCAAATTTGCAGCAAATTTTAATTTCCAAAGCTATAGTAGTGGTTAAAGGCATTTCTTTTTGTTCAGAAAATTTCGTTTGTGACCTCGAGCTCAAAAAAATCACAATAAAACTCTGTAACCACTAAGCCATTAGACTTCTGTGTCATAAGGCAAGTCCAGATTTTGTTTCCATTTCTGATCAAAATTTACAGAACTTATGATGGTTAAATCTGTGAGAATAAATGAAGTTCACTGGTGACATTACTGGTTCAGTGATACATGATAAATTAATGTTTTCCCTACTGGTTCAATGATACATGATAAATTGTTTTCCCTATTGATGAATAATAGAGTGAAGTACCATAGCTTTAAATAGCTATGCTTTCACAAACTTTGTAAATTTGTTCAACTAAACCTTTTTCTGGTCTTCATTTATTTTTGTCACCATCAGTTGCAACACATCTTAACGGATTCCACTTCAGGTTATACTGAATTGGTGCTTTCTCAACTTGGGAAATATTCTTGCTTATTATTATTTTATGGAGACTCTTCATAGACTCTAACTCTTCCGTGATTTCAAGCTTGGAATTGACTTCTTGAGAAAAAACTAAGCAGTATCATTAATATCTGCCAGCTCATCAAGAGCCAAAGAAAACCTCTACAAGTCTTTTGCCTTGTTTTTTAGTTGAATGTTAGTATTGCTCCCAGTGTCCTCATCTCCAGTAGTTATTCTCACTGAAAGGTTAAACAAGTTTATTTTCTCTGGAAACATTGGTGGCTACAGCCAAATACAATTTAATTAACTCCCCATGGGTAACTGGATTTCCTTGCTTGGATAATAAATGAGATACCCGGAAGCTTAATTTGTTTGCAGCTGTGTGTGTGTGTGTGTGTGTGTGTGTGTGTGTCTGTGTGGAAATTCTGCTGTGATGAGATACTTTGTTTTATATTTTCCTGATTTCTCTGATGATAACTTCCTTTGTCTTGCGAATGTGATGAGTGCTTAGTCTGGTAGTATCGATGTATATTGTATAGTACAATGGTTTGCCATCTAACTCGATAACAAAACAATTCACATACTACTTTAAATGCCTTAAAAGTGTGACATGCTTCTCTTATTTTGACAGGAAGATCAAATGTGGTATAACAGTATACTATGGTTTTTGAAGCACTTGACAAGTCATAACTGTCACTGCAATTTGTAGTGCATCCAGCAACTGTGTAAAGTGAATCATTCTGTTACAACCCCTCAACTCTGCTATCATAATGCAAACACAGCTATAGGCAATGCACAAAGGAATGAGTTGTGTTCCAATAAAATTTTATGGGCACTGAAATTTAAATTTTATATAATTTGCATTTCATGAAATATGTTTTTCCCTTAATTTTATTCAACCATTTATAGAAGTAAAAGCCATTATTTTTGCATTACTTTTACTTTCACCATTACATAAAAGTATGTATGGGCTGTGGACTGTACAAAAATTTTACGTAGGCAATGGGCTGTAGTTTGCCAATTCTTGCTATAGAGTAGTGCTGCACTACTTCACCTTTCCACAAGACTTTTTCTCTCTATGAATTCCCTATCTAAGTGAATGATACCACCATTCATCCGTGCAACTGTTCCTAAAATCTGGAGTCATTCTTTTAATATCATTGGGTTCCCTAAGTTTTAGCAACTCTACTACTTTGAATTAAACCTCCCACCTCTTTACTGTAAACATGTAAGTTTAGGCCCTTATTACCTCTTCTTGAGACTACACTACCCTTTTAACAGATGTTCTTTCCCCTGGCATCCCTCTTCTTGACCAGTTTTTACATGCTGCTAGAGTACTGTCTGAGTTCATTTGGGCTGCTGTAACAGAATACTATATATTGGGTGGCATATAAACAACAGATTTTTTTTTCCCACAGTTCTGGTGACTGGGAAGTTCAAGATCAAGGTGCTGGCAGATTCAGTGTCTGGTCAAGGCCTGCCTCCTGGTTTATAGGTCATCTTTTCTATGTAACCTCACACGGTAGAAGGAGTGAGGAAGCTCTCTGGAGGTTGAGTTTATAAGGGCACTAATTCCATTCACAAGGGCTCCACTCTAATGACCTAATCACCTCTCAAAGGCCCTACCACCTAATATCATCCACATTGGGAGTAGGATTTCAACATATGAATTTTTAGGGGACACAAACATTCCATCTATAACAAGTACTCTTTCTAAAATGTAAATCTGATTGTTTTACTCCTTAGACATATTTTGTAACGGTTTTCCATTACCTAGAGCAGGGTTCCCAAACTCAAATGTAACTGATTAAAGGTAATTAAATGGTGATTTTTTTTTACATACCCTTTTTTTTTTTTGCATATTGAGTAAAAGAGAATATTTTTTATTTCCATGAAGATGGCTTTCTCTTATTTTTCTTAAAGTATGTCTTTCTTTTTGTCTTTCATTTTGTTACTTTGAATAAAAAAGAACAGCTTAGAAATACATTTCTCTGCTATAACAAAGACAGCAGCAAAAACATGATGAATGGCATCTAACACTGGACATCATTCTAAGGATACAGAAGGAAATGCTGGGACTATGGCAACTAGAGCATTTGCCCAACCTGGAAAGGGATTCCCTGTGCAACCTCAATGAGTTTTGCCCTAAGAATGTGGGCCCAAGGAAGTCACATTTTTGACTTTTCAAAAGAAGTCAGAAACCAGATTTTTAAGTCTGAAATCTTCAGATGGCTGGTTTTGGAAATGGAAAAATATTGTGAGATCTGGAACCTCAAATGATGATATTATGGTTCTCTCTCTACTTGGCTAGATTAGGGAACTGAGGATCAGTAAGACCTGTCAAGAGACAGGTCTGAGTTCATGCCTTTAGTTAGGGGCAGTGTCAGGCCTAGAATGTTGATCTCTCAACTCCTATACTAGTGTTCTTTTTATTATACCAGACTAGCTCCAATTTGTTACTGAAAAAAAGCAAGCGCACACATACATAACACACACACAAACATGAAGAAGCTAATACTAAGGATTCATCCAAGTAAGTGAGTTGATGGAAAACTGTTGTCCCTTTCGGACATTTCCACTAACAGAATCCAGACACTAATCACCTCATTCCTGTAGTACTGAGATACTAGACTTTCTGCTCCCCAGTCCTTTCTATATACTATGACCAGATTAACATTTTTAAAAAGACACTACATCAATTGTATTACTTTCTTATACAAGAATCTAATATTGCTTCAATTGCCTATCATATCAAGTCTAAACCATGCTGAGCTTTCAAGATCCATGGAACTTTGCTACCTCTTATTTCTCATTACTCTCTGGAACACATCTTCCTTTCACTGTCCCCTATATTCTTCGTCATAACACCAGTATATCTTTGATTCTGTTATTATATTATTTCTTCTAGAATAGCCTGTTTTCTTCTGTCTTCTTAGTCATTTTTCATAGTCTAACTCATTAAGACGGCTTCTGAGTTCTACTGACCTCTCATTTCTGTGGTACCTACTACTACTTAGATTTCAAATCTCATTCAGTGATGTAGTTCTATTCACTCAGTGTTTCATATTTCTTTTTGGCATTTGGTAAATACTTGTTTGTAGATGTTACAAAGTCACTACAGATTTAGGTCATGCTACTACTCTTAACAACAGTATCCTATAGTGATAATAGGAATTTTTATAATAGAGTTTGTCAGGCAGCAGCCTGTGGGCCAAATATACCATGTAGATGGATTTTGTTAAGGAGATTTTAGAAATTGGAATTAACTGTTAACACTTAAGAAATTTCTGATGAAAATACGCTTTCTAGCCAAGTGGTGGCTTACGCCTGTAATCTCAGCACTTTGGGAGGCCAAGGCGGATGTGTCACTTGAGGCCAGGAGTTCAAGACCAGAGTGGCCAACACGGCTACTAAAAGTACAAAAATTAGCCTTTAGTCCAACCAAGTTACTCAGGAGGCTGAGGCATGAGAATCACGTGAACCCGGGAGGTGGAGATTGTAGTGAGCCAAGATAGAGCCACCGCATTCCAACCTGGGCGACAGAGCAAGGCTCCATCTCAAAAAAATAAAAAATGTACAATACCCTAGGCTGCATTCCCATTAAACAGTCATCTGTAGTTGTCTTTTAGGCAGGGTATGAGGTCCCCCTAGTTTTCATTACTTCTTATTATCTTATATCCTTCAAATTTCACTCATTAAAACTCCTGTTTATCTGGTTCCTGGAGGTATCTGAATTGCTAAAGATTTAATTATGTTCAAAATTACTGTAAAGTTGAATTTATATTACTTTTTGAAAATTAATATTTTAAAATTAAGAAGTTAATTGTGAAAATTTAATCATAAAAGTAGTCAAGAGCACAGTTAACTACTTATGATCTATATAGTCACTAATCATGGTTAAACTGAATTTTTAATTAATCAGAATGATATAAGAAATCATAGAGATATGGAATAGATTCTCTGCTCTCCCATGAACTGTGTATAGCCTTCAGCAAGTTGCTTAAGCTCTTTTATATCCTCATTTTATATATACCCTTAAGATATTATCATTGTCATTGATTAAGAACCACAGAATAGATTCCAAATGAAGGAAATGGGGGGCCTATTTTATAAGGAAATAATACAAATTTTAATATGGAAACTTTCAAGCTCAGTTACCTCATAAGGACTTCACTAGCCTAAACCAAGATCTGTTGGATTTTTTCTTTCCTTATTTTTGGCCTTGCAGCATTAAATAAATTTTCTAGGAAAAATGGCATTCCATTTTAAAAAGTCATCATAGTATAATAATAGGGCCACTAGGCCGGGCGCGGTGGCTCACGCCTGTAATCCCAGCACTTTGGGAGGCCAAGGCGGGTGGATCATGAGGTCAGGAGATCGAGATCATCCTGGCTGACATAGTGAAACCCCGTCTCTACTAAAAATACAAAAAAAATTAGCTGGGCATGGTGGTGGGCACCTGTAGTCCCAGCTACTTGGGAGGCTGAGGCAGGAGAATGGCATGTACCCAGGAGGCAGAGCTTGCAGTGAGCCGAGATCGCACCACTGCACTCCAGCCTGGGCGACAGAGCAAGACTCTGTCTTAAAAACAAACAAACAAACAAACAAAAATAATAATAATAGGGCCACTATATTTTTTCTAAGGAACATTATTATGTCTTAGCATTTTATAATATATGAGTTCTATAACATTTAAAATAACTATATGCAAAAGAATTACATAAATGATATATAATTTTAAAATTTTAAGATAATTACATTTAAAAAATTTTTAAATGATATAAAAAAGTATATAATTTCAGATAACTAGTAAATGATTGTTGGAATTTTTTTTTCATATGGAAAAAAACAGGAATTGAACTTTTTTTTTGTGACCCAGAATAATTTTTTTTGAGATGCAAATTATTTATATATACTTACATGTATACATATATTGCATAATTTATATTTTTGACATTATAAAATATTTTCTGAACTTTAAGTTCTGTACTTTAAGTCCTGGGGTACATGTGCACAACGTACAGGTTTGTTACATAAGTATATATGTGCCATGTTGGTTTGCTGTACCCATCAACTCATCATTTACATTAGGTATTTCTCCTAATGCTATCCCTTCCCCTGTCCCCACCCCATGACAGGCCCCCGTGTGTGATGTTCCCTGCCCTGTGTCCAAGTGTTCTCATTGTTCAGTTCCCACCTATGAGTGAGAACTTGCGGTGTTTGGTTTTCTGTCCTTGTGATAGTTTGCTCAGAATGATGGTTTCCAGCTTCATCCATATCCCTGCAAAGGGCATGAACTCATCCTCTTTTATGGCTGCATAGTAATCCATGGTGTATATGTGCCACATTTTCTTAATCTAGTCTATCATTGGTGGACATTTGGGTTCGTTCCCAGTCTTTGCTATTGTGAATAGTGCCGCAATAAACATACATGTGCATGTGTCTTTATAGTAGCATAATTTATAGTCCTTTGGGTATATACCCAGTAATGGGATTGCTGGGTCAAATGATATTTCTAGTTCTAGATCCTTGAGGAATCGCCACACTGTTTTCCACAATGGTTGAACTAGTTTACAGTCCCACCAACAGTGTAAAAGCATTCTTATTTCTCCACATCCTCTCCAGCATCTGTTATTTCCTGACTTTTTAATGATCGCCATTCTAACTGGTGTGAGATGGTATCTCATTGTGGCATTGATTTGCGTTTCTCTGATGACTAGTGATGATGAGCATTTTTTCATGTGTCTGTTGGCTGCATAAATGTCTTCTTTTGAGAAGTGTCTGTTCATATCCTTTGCCCACTTTTTGATGGGGTTGTTTGTTTTTTTCTTGTAAATTTGTTTAAGTTCTTTGTAGATTCTGGATATTAGCCCTTTGTCAGATGGGTAGATTGCAAAAATTTTCTCCCATTCTGTAGGTTGCCTGTTCACTCTGATGGTAGTTTCTTTTGCTTTGCTGAAGCTCTTTAGTTTAATTAGATCCCATTTGTCAATTTTGGCTTTTGTTGCCATTGCTTTTGGTGTTTTAGTCATGAAGTCCTTGCCCATGCCTATGTCCTGAATGGTATTGTCTCGGTTTTCTTCTAGAGTTTTTATGGTTTTAGGTCTAACATTTAAGTCTTTAATCCATCTTGAATTAATTTTTGTATAAGGTGTAAGGAAGGGATCCAGTTTCAGCTTTCTACATATGGCTAGCCAGTTTTCCCAGCACCGTTTATTAAATAGGGAATCCTTTCCCCATTTCTTGTTTTTCTGAGGTTTGTCAAAGATCAGATGGTTGTAGATGTGTGGTGTTATTTCTGAGGCCTCTGTTCTGTTCCATTGGTCTATATCTCTGTTTTGGTACCAGTACCATGCTGTTTTGGTTACTGTAGCCTTGTAGTATAGTTTGAAGTCAGGTAGCATGATGCCTCCAGCTTTGTTCTTTTTGCATAGGATTGTCTTGGCAATGTGGGCTCTTTTTTGGTTTTATATGAACTTGAAAGTAGTTTTTTCCAATTCTGTGAAGAAAGTCATTGGTAGCTTGATGGGGGGATGGCATTGAATCTATAAATTACTTTGGGCAGTATGGCCATTTTCATGATATTGATTTGTCCTATCCATGAGCATAGAATGTTCTTCCATTTTTTTGTGTCCTCTTTTATTTTGTTGAGCAGCGGTTTGTAGTTCTCCTTGAAGAGGTCGTTCACATCCCTTGTAAGTTGGATTCCTAGGTATTTTATTCTCTTTGAAGCAATTGTGAATGGGAGTTCACTCATGATTTGGCTGTTTGTCTGTTATTGGTGTATAGGAATGCTTGTGATTTTTGCACATTGATTTTGTATCCTGAGACTTTGCTGAAGTTGCTTACCAGCTTAAGGAGATTTTGGGCTGAGATGATGGGGTTTTCTAAATATACAATCATGTCATCTGCAAACAGGGACAATTTGACTTCCTCTTTTCCTAATTGAATACCCTTTATTTCTTTCTCTTGCCTGACTGCCCTGGCGAGAACTTCCAACACTATGCTGAATAGGAGTGGTGAGAGAGGGCATCCCTGTCTTCTGCCATTTTTGAAAGGGAATGCTTCCAGTTTTTGCCCATTCAGTATGATATTGGCCGTGGCTTTGTCATAAATAGCTCTTATTATTTTGAGATACTTTCCATCAATACCTAGTTTATTGAGAGTTTTTAGCATGAAGGGCTGTTGAATTTTGTCAATGGCCTTTTCTGCATCTATTGAATTAATCATGTGGTTTTTGTCATTGGTTCTGTTTATGTGATGAATTACATTTATTGATTTGCGTGTGTTGAACCAGCCTTGCATCCCAGGGATGAAGCCAAGTTGATCGTGGTAGGTAAGCTTTTTGATGTGCTGCTGGATTCGGTTTGCCAGTATTTTATTGAAGATGTTTGCATCGATGTTCATCAGGGATATTAGTCTAAAATTCTCTTTTTTTGTTGTGTCTCTGTCAGGCTTTGGTATCAGGATGATGCTGGCCTCATAAAATGAGTTAGGGAGGATTCCCTCTTTTTCTATTGATTGGAATAGTTTCAGAAGGAATGGTACCAGCTCCTCTTTGTACCTCTGGTAGAATTCGGCTGTGAATCCGTCTGTCCCTGGACTTTTTTTGGTTGGTAGGCTATTAATTATTGCCTCAATTTCAGAACCTGTTATTGGTCTATTCAGAGATTCAGCTCCTTCCTTGTTTAGTCTTGGGAGGGTGTATGTGTCCAGGAATTTATCCATTTCTTCTAGATTTTCTAGTTTATTTGCGTAGAGGTGTTTATAGTATTCTCTGATGGTAGTTTATATTTCTGTGGGATCGGTGGTGATATCCTCTTTATCATTTTTTAATGTGTCTATTTGATTCTGCTCTCTTTTCTTCTTTATTAGTCTTGCTAGCGGTCTATCAATTTTGTTGATCTTTTCAAAAAACCAGCTCCTGGATTCATTGATTTTTTTTTTTTTTTTGAAGGGTTTTTTATGTCTCTATCTCCTTCGGTTCTGCTCTGATCTTAGTTATCTCTTGCCTTCTGCTAGCTTTTGAATTTGTTTGCTCTTGCTTCTCTAGTTCTTTTAATTGTGATGTTAGAATGTCTATTTTAGATCTTTCCTGCTTTCCCTTGTGGGCATTTAGTGCTATACATTTCCCTCTACACACTGCTTTAAATGTGTCCCAGAGATTCTGGTGTGTTGTGTATTTGTTCTCATTGGTTTCAAAGAACATCTTTATTTCTGCCGTCACTTTGTTATTTACCTAGTAGTCATTCAGGAGCGGGTTGTTCAGTTTCCATGTAGTTGTGTGGTTTTGAGTGAGTTTCTTAATCCTGAGTTCTAATTTGATTGCACTGTGGTCTGAGAGACAGTTTGTTATGATTTTTGTTCTAGGAATTGAACGTTAAAAAAAAATTGCCTTTAAAACGGTGAGAAACACATACCATCAAAGTTTTTTTGACAAGAAATTCATCAGATTTTAAAAACAATTTTTTAACTTTTCTGAAAATTGAAGATTCTTCAAGTAACTTCATGAAAGATGAAACTGATCATTACAAAATGCAAAACTTACATTGATGTAGTTGTGTTTCAGAGAAATAAAAATGTTGATTTGTTTTTAATATTATAAGCTACATTTGGTCTCCAAAATACAGTTAGAGCAAAGAAAAAATAGTATGAGCTGATGATTTTCCTTTAGTTGCAGAAATGCATTTCTGGGGATGGTGATGTGGTGGTAAGCTCTAATAAAAACTGTCCAGTGTGTCATATTTCTGGCTTTTATGTGTTGCATACAAAGCACCATCAGTCAAATGAGCAACACAAGACTACCATATTAGGCATTATAAACAGTGACAAAGTATAAGTAGTGCAAGTAGTCATATTTCTAGTTTTGAAATGCTTAAACTCTAGTAGATAAAGAATAATAGAAAATGAGCGATAAAAAAGGACATAATTTAGATTGTCAAGAGAAAACACAGACCCCTAAGAATTTAATTAAGAGGACAGATTATATTTACTTTTTCAGCCCCTAATACAGCTTCTTGGACATATATAAGTGTTCATTACTTAAAATGATCTGGAACTTTTTCTAGAATTTATTATTTATTCAGTTAAACACTTATTGAAAGCTAAAGTGTGTATTCAGCATTGTACTACCCTTGAGATACTGTGGCAGACTGCTTCCTGGTACATTTCATTGTGATTTTTTTTTTTTTTTTTTTGTTAGTCACTAATTCAGATACATAGACAGTTGTTACCTAGTACAACTAGCTAACGTGTTTGGATTATAAATTCATTTTGGAAGAGCTTACATCTATATAAAGGAAGGTACAGACAGTCCTTTGCACAGTTCTGATTAGCACAATATCTGTGTAACTTTCATGTAACTGAGCAAAGTTCAGCTACCTATACAGAAGGAAGAGCCTGTACTTGCAGACACACGTATATCTGGATTTACCCAACTTTGGCACTTATTCTGGGCAAGTTATTCAGCTTCTGAATTAGCTTTCTCATCTATTACAGTCAGATAATAATATCTATTTCACAAGGGAGTTGGAAATAGTACATAAAGTGATATCCATATAATTTTTAAAAATAATGTTATCTGTAGGGTTTTTTCCCCTTTTATTTTAGATTCAGGGGGCACGTAATGCAGTTTGTTACCTGGATAAATTGCATGATGCTGAGGTTTAGGGTACAAATGATCCCATCACCCAGGTACTGAACATATTAAATAGTACACAGTAGTTTTTCAACCCCAAGTAATTTTAAATTTCCATTTCCAAAGCTAAAAATATAATCGTTTTTAGAAAACTTTATCTTGTATTCAGAGCTAAAACCAATCAAAGACTATAATGCTGTTTATTGTACTATTTTAACCAAACCATGTGGTGAATATTAAGTTATGGTAGCTGATTATATTTTTAGAAGATAATCACAACAATGTCTCTTGCCCCACATATTTTTTTAGAACTTCCTACCACTCATTAAGAGTTGGGGTCTAATTCTCCTATTGAATCTGAGCACACTTATGTAACCATTAGAATGCAGCAGAAGGGATGCCATGTGACTTTCCTAGCTTAGGTCATAAAAGGCAATGCTGCTTCCGCTCTGATTGTTGGAATACCAGCCTGCTTGGAGCCCTGAGAAATCCGAGTACCTGGAGGTTGCTGTGTCAGGAAGCTAAGCCTTGTAGAAAGGTCCCAAGTCTCAGGTATCAGATTTCAGGTCAGAAATCCTAGTCTTTGAGTCCTTTCATGCCAGTCACCAGCCATGTGAGTGAATGAACTGTTAGATGATTTAGATCATGCCAGCTTCAGCCACTGAGTCACTCCCAGTCACCCCTAGCCTTTGAGACTCTGCATCAAGGCTGTAGATTTTGTGAAGTAGAGACCAGCCATCTTGAATGTGCCCTTTGTGATTCCCGATTCATAGAATCTATGAGCGTAATAAAATGGCTTTTGTTTTATGCCAGTAAATTTGGGGTGGTTTGTTATATAAAAACGTTTTTATATAAAACACTGAAAAGATACATTTCCTCAGTGAGCAATAGATTGCTATTGAAATTCATCAAAGTAGGAACTACCTGCTGAATAAATGTTAACTGAGTTTTTCTTTCATTTCAAATGAAGATAGCCTAAAAAGACATTTGCCTAGAGAAATTTGGTTTCTTTACTTGTTCTTTATTCTGACATTAATTGTCTTGAAGAGATATTAATTGACTGTTCTAGCAGCCAGGAAAGAAATGTATATGCTTAAAGAGTGCTGTGGGTTTTAACATAGCTTTATGATAAATTTTACCAGTTTGGCTAATGAAAAATGTCAATTAGTACTTTTAAATTATTAAGAATAGTTTCCACAAAAGTTTAGTATTTTTATTAACACAGGAGCCTAATAAAACCTTGTAGGAACAAAGGAATATCTGTACTGATCTCTCCAACTGAAAATTGTTATCCCTGATACTAATTTTAATGTTAATGTAAAATATTAGCATCATCACTAGTATATTTGGCAGTTGTTTGAGTCATCTTTCCTGTCACTTCTTAGAAGACAGTGGATTTTCTAGGTTGATCACCATTGAATAAAATTATAACTGTCATAAAATTATCAAGGGATTTCTGTTATGTAGTACATATTATGATTTCCTAAAATAATATAATAATTATAATAATGGGCACTTTTTATTAATATATTAATATTTATAATAAATAATTATAAATAAATTATAAATAATTTAAATAAATAATAAATTTAAATTATAAATAATAAATAATTGTAAATAAACATTATAAATTATTTATAATATTTATTTATAAATATATTCATATTTATTATAATAATGGGCACATTTTATTAAGATTATTGCCATGGCTGGGCACGGTGGGCTCATGCCTATAATTCTAGCATGTTGCGAAGCTGAGGCAGGAGGATGGCTTGAGCTCAGGAGGTCGAGACCAGCCTGGGCAACATAGAAAGACTCTGTCTGTCCAAAAAAATAAAATTAGCTGGGCGTTGTAGTCAGCACCTGTGGCCCCATATATTCAGCTTGCTGAGGTGGGAGGATTGCCTAAGCCCAGGAAGTTAAGGTTGCAGTGAGCCATTATTGTGCCACTGCACTCCAGCCTGGGTTACAGAGTGAGACCCTGTCTCAAAAAAAAAAAAAAAAATTATTGCCGTGAGTGCCAGGAGCCAAAGTATTGTAGGCCTGTCGCATCCAGACACAATGTATGTGATTAGGCTCTCTCTGTGTAGAGCCTAATCACATATACACAGACATAATTCTTGAACTTTATGAGAATAGGTCTTTAGGCATTGTGTGAAATAAAATTTTACAAATTGTATTTTGCTCTTATTTATTATAGTTTAATATTGTAGTTGTGAAGATCATCTGTCAGATTCTTCACCCTCTCATCAAACATGACAAGTAAGACTAGAGTGTTTCTATTTCAGACTAAAATAGAGTTTTAATTCCATTTAAGAATGAATGAGGCCAGGCGCGGTGGCTAACGCCTATAATCCTAGCACTTTGGGAGGCCTAGGTGGGCAGATCACCTGAGGTCAGGAGTTCAAGACCAGCCTGGTCAACATGGTGAAACCCCGTGTCTACTAAAAATACAAAAAATTAGCTGGGCGTGGTGGCAGGTGCCTGTAATCCCAGCTGTTTGGGAGGCTGAGGCAGGAGAATCCCTTGAAACCAGGAGGTGGAGGTTGTAGTGAGCCAAGATCACGTCATTGCACTTCAGCCTGGGCAACGAGAGTGAAACTCCGTCTTAAAAAAAAAAAAAAAAAAAAAAAAGAATGAATGAAAAATTACTGCTTAGAAAATTTTTATCACATTTCTAAAATAGAGAAGATGACTTAGAGTGAAATAAAGTCATTGTTTTTAGTATAGCCCATTTTAATAAAAATATTTCTTAATCAAGACAGTTTGTGTCATAATTTCTAAAAAAACATGCCAGTGCAAGTAACTCAAAAGTAATGTAGGTTTTCAGGATTTACTAAATTTTCACTATAGTGAGTAGTATGAGTATCCTAGCATAATTTCCTGTCCTAGAGGAATTTTCAATCTAATAGTAGAACTATACAAGTAGGGTTCTATGTACCTAGAACTATAAAACTAACAAAATGAAAAATACAGAAAAAATAAAACTGTATAAAATTCTACAAAAATAATCTCATAAATAGATTACAAACTTATTGATGAAGTTTAATTTTGGGATTTAACCACTTGGTGTAGAGTTCAAACTGCTTGACTCACACATAGGACAGGTTGATTACATTCATATAAGCCCTTATATTTTATGAAATCTTGTAATGAATTATAATTAACCTGGAACAAAAGAGGTGTATCTAGTGGATAGATGTGTGTGTAAGTGGTGAATAGGCACAGAGTTACAATGTCATTGCAACCTGGAGAGTCATACTGGGAGCAAAGACCATGTATATGAATAGGTATGACTACATGTTAAAGTAATAAATTCATGGATTAAGGTAGAAGTTAGGTGTGTAACATTTATGAAATATAGTTTGGAGTTTTCATTAAATAGAATAGTTTTTAGCTCTTTTGTTTCTCTTCAAATATTAGAAATATTTCTAATTATCCAAGTACTGCATGAATTGCCTTTGAAATATTGCACACATGCACCTGAACAGTTACTTTTTTGCTCAGATATTTTTTTTTTCAGATCATGTGTACATAATGTATGTTCACAAAACATATTTAGTATTTAGGTACATTCCTGTTAGATCTTGCATCTGTGGAACTTCATCGTGGAAACTAATTTATCAAAGTAGCACATTCACATTAGTTTCATATTCTTTTTAATTTTCAATTTTATTGGGACCAAGTAATAATTATGAAGGTAGTGATAAATGATTAAACTTTAAATACTTTTTCTAAGCTCTCAGTTTTCTTATTTGTTTTTCTTTTTTTTACTATAAGTTTTAGGGTACATGTGCACAACATGCAGGTTTGTTACATATGTATACATGTGCCATGTTGGTGTGCTGTACCCATTAACTCGTCATTTAACAATAGGTATATCTCCTAATGCTATCCCTCCCCGCTACCCCCATCCCACAACAGGCCCCAGTGTGTGATGTTCCCCTTCCTGTGTCCATGTGTTCTCAGTGTTCAGTTCCCACCTATGAGTGAGAACATGCGGTGTTTGGTTTTTTGTCCTTGCCATAGTTTGCTGAGAATGATGGTTTCCAGCTTCATCCATGTTCCTACAAAGGACATGAACTCATCGTTTTTTATGGCTGCATAGTATTCCATGGTGTATATGTGCCACATTTTCTTAATCCCGTCTATCATTGTTGGACATTTGGGTTGGTTCCAAGTCTTTGCTATTGTGAATAGTGCCGCAGTAAACATACGTGTGCATGTGTCTTTATAGCAGCATGATTTATAATCCTTTGGGTATATACCCAGTAATGGGATTGCTGGGTCAAGTGGTATTTCTAGTTCTAGATCCCTGAGGAATCACCACACTGACTTCCACAATGGTTGAACTGGTTTACCGTCCCACCAACAGTGTAAAAGTGTTCCTGTTTCTTCACATCCTCTCGAGCACCTGTTGTTTCCTGACTTTTTAATGATCGCCATTCTAACTGGTGTGAGATGGTATCTCATTGTGGTTTTGATTTGCATTTCTCTTAAGGCCTAGTGATGATGAGCATTTTTTCATGTGTCTGTTGGCTGCATAAATGTCTTCTTTTGAGAAGTGTCTGTTTATATCTTAACAGCAAGCATCTGTAGCCGCAGCAGCAGTGAAGAGAAGCATGATTTTTTTTCATATCATTAGAAGTCAGTGAAATGGGGAATAACTGGAGAATTTGATTATAATACAGTAGTCCCCCTTTATCCACAGGGATATGTTCCAAGATCAAGAGGCATGATTTTTGTGCTTAAACTTTTTTAGCTTGCTAAGAAGTAAGATAATTTGAATGGTGACTGAATATGTGATAATTATACAAGGTAGCCCTTTTTTTACTGTAGATATGTCACCTACCCATGAAAATGGGACAACTTATTTAATTCTCAGCAATCACAAAATTCTAAAATCTTTTGGAATAAATTTAACATTAAAGAATCTATATAAAAATAGAAACTTTCATGTTTATCAAGGTATAAACAAAATGTGGGAGCCTAGAAAAGGAAGGTTCCTCTGACTGCAGGAATACAGAAAGCTTCATGCAAGACTTGGCATATTAGTTGACTTCGCCAAGTAAGTAGCCATGCTAGATGTGGAAAATGCACAGAAAGGAATTTTAGAAAAGAATTTAATTCTCACAATTGTGAAAATGAAAGTGTGCTTGGGAAAAAGCCAATAATGTGGTGGGACTGACACACATGATGTTGTGTGAGAAAGTAATGGGAGATGGCATAATGTGAGTTGTAAAAGTTTCTGATCGGTTTAGGACCAGCTCTGGTAAACAAAAAAAAAAAAAAAAAAAAAGAAAGAAAAGTAGGAAACTGAAAATACAACATAGTAAAACTGAAAATATTATAATTTTTAAACACAGTCCTTTCCACTTGACATGCTAACAGAAACTACTATTCCTACTTCATTAGAGAAGCTTTTAAAAATAGCTTCATTCTGTCAGATACTAAACCCTTTAGATAAGTAAAACATAATATTCAAGAGAGATTGCTATTATTTCCAGCTGCTAAGCCAGGTGCCCCAAATTGACTTAATGCCATTCATTTTGAGATAAACTTGAAATTCTTCCATTCATGCATTGGCTGTATTCTAGGTACTTGAAAACCACATTAGCACAGAAATATTTTTTTTTTTGGATTTGATGTGGATAGTGATGCTTTCAAAGTAAAGCTTTGTTACTAGATAGTTATGTGAAAATAATAGATACAGAAAAAAATTGAGTGACATTTGAAGTGAGGTAAAAATGTCTTGAACTTTTACAAGCTCAGTTAGCAGTTCTTGTGTACTTGTCTCCTGTCGGTTTTATCATCAGCAATGGTATAATTGTCCAAAGATAACAAACACATATCTATCTATATACCCATGTATCTACTTACTGGCATATAGTAAAGTGATAGAATTGATTAACATTTAAAAGTATGAAGTTTTAGATCCAATAACCTTGAAAATAAAGCTACCATTTCTGAATAATATTGTGAGGAAGATAAACTGAAAAATGCCACCACAAATAACATAAAGAATTTCATGACTTCCTAGTTTAACATGACACTGTCTTGAGATTTGTTCTTTGGGACAGTCCTTTCTTCACAGTCAAGTGTATTCTTTGTTGTTGGTGATGATCTTAAGTACTTTTATGGTCAAATTATTTAAATATTAAAACAGCATCACTTTCCTCATTAGTTTTTCTTAGATTGATGTTAAGAAAGGAACTGATAGCTAAAAATTTAGGTCTTATGAAAACTCTTCCATTGCAGCAAGTACTTACAGACCAGTAAATAATTTGTTTCTGGTTTATAGAAGAGAGGTTGGAGCATAAAGAGCCTCTGGTGCCTAAGATAAAAGAAAAAAAAGGCTTGGCAAAGTTTGAAGGTTTTAGTGGGAAAGTATAGCTGTTTGTCTTTAACAGAGACTTTTGAGAAATGCGAGGAATGATAGTTAGCTGTTCACGGTTACCAGAAGTTGCATCAGGTTTTATCCAAATGTATCAAGGCCTAAAATGTGGTAATTCTTTATATTGATAGGGACATAAAGCAAGTGGTCTGTCCAGCTGAATAAAAGAAGGGAGGACAGAAGGAAAGAGCATACCATCCTAATATTCTGAAGGGCATGCATATATTATTCAGGAAGAGAAGAGGCTCTGTGCACAACTGGGGTCACACTAATATTAAAGGGGCAGATAGAGAAGGAAGATCTATTGAAGAAGACCAAAAACAAGTGTTTAGACTGATGTTTCTAAGTTAAGAGGTGTTTCAGAAATGGAAAAACTGTCTATTGCTACAGAGATATCAAACAAGAGGATTGAGAAAAATTCATTGGCTTTGTCAAGATATCATTTAAAACCTTTGACAGAGTAATTTTGATAGGCTTTTAGAGGACTTGGTTAGATCAGGTTTTAAGGAGCGATTGAGTGGGTAAGAAGTGGGAGACTCAGAATTTTAATGACCAAGTCAACTTTGCTTTAACCCTTTGAAGATGTCACATATTTCACAAGACGAACTAGACCATATGTTGATATATAGGAAAGAAATTGTTTTAAGAAAAAATTTTATTTTATTTGTTAATACTTCTCCATTTCTATCTCTACTTACTGCCTCATTACCAGCCAGAGGCTGACAAATTTTCATTAGAACAATTTCAGTGCTTTTAAGGAAATGTAAAATACAGCTCTCTGGAATTACACAAAAAGTAATTTGGATGCTAAGGATTTACTACTGAAATTTACTGTCATGGTTTGAAGGAGTACAAAAATAATATCCTCTGTTTCTTACCCAAGCTTAGAACCACTGGAGATATAAGCATATGAGTCGTCTGCTAGAATTTAAAATATCTGCTTTAAAATTAATAAAGTCTAGAGTTAAGGCCTCTATTTGTAGAGTCACAATGGGATTACTAGTAATTTACTGCTGAATTATACATATTTACTCATTTTGTCACTGTACACCTGGACAGCCACAGGTGTAGAACAGAAAATTCTTGTTGTTTCTAAAATAACAGGAATGCAGAAGGGGTTGAGCCATACATGTCCAGTAGTCCTCAGCCTTAATCAGATAAATCAGATAAATCTTTCCTCTTCTGGAAAATGGAAGCTTTCATATTGTTTCGGCTTAGCAGGGCAACTAACCTTTAAGGAACTGCCAGGTGTCCAGTTTTAGTATATCAGTGAATATCCGCAATTATCTGAAAAGGCTGTTAAAATACTCACGTGTTTTCCAACTACGTATATATTGAGACTAAATTTTCTTCATCTATTCAAACCAAAACAGCATATTAACCAAGATTGAATACAGAAGAAGATACGAGAGTCCAGTCATCTTCTGTTGAACCACATTATGGAGATTTTTTTTTTTTCCTTTTTTTTTTTTAAGAGATAGGGTCTTGCTCTGCCACCCAGGTTAGAGTGCAGTGGAGCAATCCTAGCTCCCTGTAGACTCAAACTCCTCAGGCTTAAGTGATCCTCCCACTGCAGCCTCCTGAGTAGCTGGGAATACAGGCACATGCCACCATATGCAGTTAATTTTTTTATTTTTATTTTTCTTAGAGAAGAGGACTCACTTTGTTGCCCGGGCCGGTATCAAACTCCTAGCCTCAAGTGATCCTTCCACCTTGGCCTCCCAAAGTGATGGGATTACAGGCATGAGCCACCGGGCCTGGATGAAATTTCTAAAAATGTAAAACAATGCCTTATGTAAGTGATAGGTTGATGGGTGCAGCAAACCACCATGGCACATGTTTATGTAACAAAACTGTATGTTCTGCAGATGTAAGCCAGAACTTAAAGTATAATAAAAGAAAAAAAAAAAACAATGCTATTCTTCTTGCTAAATTTTTTTGTTAGGAAATAATTTTTTTCATTAAAATGCTAATTATGTTAATGTGCAGTAGGTTTATAATTGTTACATTTAAGTAAATTACTAAATAATTTTAAAAAGTCTCAGTTTTGATTTTGTAGTATGTTAAATGTCTATAGCAATAATATAAACAAAAGCTCTTTGGGATTCTCAATAACTTTTAATAGTGTAAAGAGGTTTTGAGAATCTGTGATCTAGAGGAATTCACATATAATTTAGGAAGAAAGCATAGCTTTATAATCCAAAATATGCATGTTAGGGCTTAAAGCAGTACTTTGATGTGAAGTATTTTTGAAATGACAGTGTAAGTTTTGTAGTTATCACACTTTGTATTATTTGGAATCATATTATTTTGAAATTTTTCTAAACCTTCATTTTTTATGTCTTTAATGTACAACAGAGGAAGTGAACAATGAAATAAAATGTTTGTAAAACTATATAATTTTTTATGAACATTTAATTTTTCTAAGCCATAGATGCTTTCCTGAACAAGCTCAATAAGTTATAAGAATATGGAAAAAAGATGTTCTTTGATAATATTTGGAATATTCCTGGTATCTTACACATAGCAGAATGAATATTTCATATCTGAGTTAAGTGAACAAAGTGCATTTAAAATTTTTTTAATAGTACAGTCTAATGCCATTTTGGAATGTACGTGGAGGTTAATTTGCTATTATAGGAAGCTCTCCAGTTTAGTGGTAACTGTTTATCCTTTTGTCATGTAACATATGGTGGTCATAAGGTTGAGTTTCTGATTTTTTTTTTTCTTTAAGCAGATAATCTCAGTGATACCTTGAAGAAGCTGAAGATAACAGCTGTTGACAAGACTGAGGATAGTTTAGAAGGATGCTTGGATTGTCTGCTTCAAGCCCTGGCTCAAAATAGTAAGTTTCATTATGTTTACTCAAATTCCAAAGAAGAAAATCAAATCAGTAGTCATTCAGAAACTGGTATGTAGTTAAGCACATAACTTTGTATTCATATAACTTGAATTCTTTTGAATCATATCCCTGAATACTGAGATTGTTTTACATGTTCTACCCTCCTACTTCCCTCCACGCCCCCGCAAGATCCTCAAAGCCAAGCTGATAGGCAAAGAAAGGAGGAATTGATGGGTGGTGATGACATTAATACCAGTCCCAGAGAGAGGCCATTGTTTCATTTCTAACAGTCAAGCATCGTAGTTGTTTTTCTTAGCACCTACATCTGTGCTTTAAAAATAGATTGTTTTATATGTGGGGAGAGTGGGGAGGGAGAGAGAGGAGAAACAGAGGGGGAGCTTAAAACACTTAACATTTTTTTGGAATCTTATCATATTTTAAAATAATTGTACCTTAAAATAATATGTATGCATAGATAAATTTGGAAGGAACCATTAGAAGTCATCAAAAATCTTTTGAAATTGGGGTAGGATTTTATCTTTGATGTGATAAATAATGCTAGAGATAGAAACTGCACAGTTCTTCATTGACCATTGTGTTGCATTTTATTTATCCTATTTCTAGTCACTAATTTCTGTATTATCACCATTAATAGATCAGTATAGAGTGATTTTCATTTGTTATCTTAATTCTGCTTGGTTGTGCTGTGGTTTTTTCTGTACTTGTTTTTAATTATGCTCTTGTCCTATCCTGAAACTAATTATGTAGCTGACAAAGAATGGAGGGGAACGTATATATTGTTAAGGTTTTAATTGTAAGGTTTCAACACTTATTGATATATGTTTTTTTTATTTTTTAGTAAACCTTGATTAGAAAAATCTAAAATAATTGATTGCAGTACTTTTCATCAAAAAAGCACATTTTAGAGCTAGCTTTTAAAATTATTTTTCAGTAATTATTTTAGATTACAACTGTCATGCTGTTTAATCATAGAGATAACAGGAAGAGATTTGAAACAAGGAGTTCAATAAGAGCATCCAGATAAGGCTCAAAATGGTAAAGAAAAAGGACAGGAAAGGAGAACGTCTAAGCCTGCTATCCATTTTAGTGGACACATGTGGCTATTTAAATTTAATACAAGTAAATAAAATGTAAAAGGAAGTTCCTTAGTCTCACTTCTCAGTAGTTATATTTGGCAGATGACCACTCTCTTGGGGATCACAGATATAAAATATTCCCATGATCACAGAAAATTCTTATGGATAGCACTGGTCTAGAAACTAGGAAGAACCACACGATGACCTGATTTTTTTTTACATGTGCCTGTATAGGCAGCTTTACACAGTAACATAATTAACCTAAGTAAATTGAGTATCTCAGGTATATTTTTTTGAACAGTTGTTTTATTATAACCTTCGTCTGTTTTCAGCAACACTTTTTTTCTCTGTTAGACAGTAAACTTTTAAATAGACCATTTGCTTTAGATACTGAAGGACATGAAGGGTCATATTCTTGGTCATCTGTAGAGGTTGCCCATTTGTCTCCTAGGAAGACTGGAAGACAAAGAGATGAAGTTGAAGGGAAATGAAGAAAAAAGGGAGTAAAAAGTGTATAGCTTTTAAAAGAACAGATTTAAGAAACACTGAGAAGTTCATAATTATTAGATTAAATTAGCTTACATTAGAATAAGCCCATTGCGGACTTATTCACTGTACCTTTTGTTGAAAATGGTCTTGTGAAATTGTGTATCACAAAATGTTAAGGCCACGTAACCACAAGGTATTAAAACAATAAACTCTCACCAATTTAACTAATGATGCCCCAGGAAGGGAACAAAAGGAATGTCTTGTTAACAATCTGAAACAAAATTTATAAATGCCCTCAAGCCTAAGACTACTGACAAAGAAGAATTGGAAAAAGGAGTTCATGCAGATGTTCAGTCTTTGACACCTGTCATTGGATCACTTACTGTATGTTTAGCACTGGGCTGGGGATTATAGCCACTATCTAATCTTTCCTATAGTCCCATGAGGTAGGTATTATTATCACCATTTAAAGGATGAGGTAACAGATTAATAAGCTTATTTGCCTTGCTCTGGAAGAAGCCAGAGTTTGGATTTGAACTCTTGATTTACAAAATAAAAAATTGTAATCTGAATAAAGTGAAGCTTTTTGCTGAGTTCATGTAATGTGAAATCATTCCAAGAAGCTAGGTTTTAACATTGTGTTTTAAATTTTTGTTTTTTCTTTAATAAAAATAGCTCTAAATTTTTATTAAAGTGGATAAGCCTGTTTTTCTTGAACTATAAAGTGATATATGTATTTTATAGGCATTTATTGATACACTTTATAAAGTCAGCATATGCCTTTTTAACAAGAAAAAGTAAAATATATTAGTGAGATGTTAATTTTCTACAGTTCTTCCTTGAATAAGGTGATTGAGCCATTGCTACTTCTGTCCTCCTAAATGTAAAATTATAAAACATTTAACTTAGAAGAATCTGTACTTGCTTTTTAAACAACAACAACAACAACAACAACAACAAAAACACAGAGAGCTTCTCGTTTCATAATTCTTCCTTAGTGTCAGGTGTTTTAACTAAAAATAACAACTGTACCATAATTGCACCTGATCAGGAAAGAAAGATTTCTCCATTCTGTACAAATATAAGATGGTAATGTATGTAATGGAAATATAAACAAAATTTTATTTTACAGTCTATTACCCTGTTACTGGAAAGGTTATCTCTGAAAGGAACAAAATAATGCTTTTGAAATTTTTACACTGTGTGATTTAGTGCATTTGAATTGCATATTACAAATGACTGTAATCTGAAATTAGAATTTTTACTTTGATGTATGGCTTTAGAGTGGTTTTCTTTTTTTACCATTGGCAGTATTTCTCTCTGTAACGTTTATACTATATGTGTCTATCTTAAGAGACAAGAAGATTTGAATACTTACTAGATTTTATGAAAACATTTTGTTTAAGCAAGCATTTTGTGTAAATCTATGATCTAAATTAATATAAAGTCATTCATTCACTCATATAAATACATCAGATCTCAGTTTTAAAATGTTTTTAGTAAATGTGTGAAGGCTACCAGCCAAGAAATCAGCTTCTGTTTATTTTGGTCTCTTTTGATTCAGATTATAGTTAGAAGATTCTCAGTAAATGCTTATTTGATTGTAGTATGGTTACTCTATTTTATGGTTATTTGGAAATGTAAAACAATAGGCCACCTATTTTCATCCCCAAACATTAAGACAGGAATTGTCTTTGGAGAATGTGGCATCTAAATCACCTTGCAAGAGAAACTATTAGTTTAAATTAAAGTCCCAAAGGCAAGAAAAATTAACATTCTATTTGTAATAAAAATTCTATCCATTTTATTCCATTTTGAGGATGAAGACCATTTTGTGTTGCCGGGGGGACCATAAAGTGTGCCATACAGCTTTAAACTCTCTCCCTGAAGAAGTAAGCTGTCTTCCCCTGCCTCGTTCTCTTTTTTTTTTTTTTGTATTTAACTTAGTTTCTTGCTTGATGGCAATTCCCATTTCATACGAGAGTCACGTAATTGTTTATTTTTTATAGAACAACTCTGTGAGATACTGCGTGTTTACTTGTCTTTAAAGAAAAAAAGCATTTAATGTCTAGTTCCACATCTCTAATCTTCTATGATAATATTCACTCACATGTTGAATTCTTGCTTTATTTTCTAGCCCTAAGGTAATTTGCTAGCCCTTGTTCTTTATTTCATTTGTTGTATTGATTTTTGGCTCCCTTCTAGGCTACAATGCTAAGCATACGTAATTATAGGCAAACTTCATTTTATTGTGCTTTACTTTATTGAGCTTCACAAATACTGTATTTTTTACAAATTGAAGGTTTATGGCAACCCTAAGTTGAGCAAGTCTTTCAGTGCCATTTTTCCAACACCTTGTGCTTACTTTGTGTATCTGTGTCACATTATGGTAATTCTTGCAACATTTCAGACATTATTATTATATCTACTTTGGTAATCTGTGTCAATGATCTTTGATGTTACTATTGTGATTGTTTTGGGGTGCCGTGAACCATGCCCATGTATGATGGTAAACTTAATTGATAAATATTGTGTCTGTCTGACTGCCCCACCAACTAGCTATGCCGTACCCCCTACTCCCCATCTCTATTCCTCTCCTCAGGCCTCCCTATTGCATGAGACACAATGTTTAATTTAGACCAATTAATAATCCTACAGTGGCCTGTAAGTGTTCCAGTGAAAGGAAGAGTCACATCTCTCTCACTTTATATCACAAGCTAGAAATGATTAAGCTTATTGAGGAAAGCATGTCGAAAGCGGAGGCAGGTTGAAAGCAAAGATAGGCCAAAAGCTAGGCTTCTTGAGCCAGTTAGCCAAGTTGTGAATGCAAAGGAAAAGTTCTTGAAGGAAATTAAAAGTTCTACTCCACTGAAAACATGAATGATAAGAAGTCTAAACAGCCTTATTACTGATAGGAAGAAACTTTGAGCGCTCTGGTTAGAGGATCATACTAGCCACAACATTCCCATGTCCTAATCCAGAGCAGGGCTCTGATTGTCTTCAGTTCTGAGAAGGCCGAGAGGTGAGGAGACTGCATTAAGAAAAGTTGGACACTAGCAGAGGTTGGTTCATGAGGTTTAAGGAAAGAAGTCATCTTCACAACACTGAAAGTGAAAGATGAAGCAGCAGCTGCTGATGGAGAAGCTGAAGCAAGTTACCCACAAGATCTAGCTAAAATCATTGATGAAGGAGGAGGCTGTGCTAAACAACAGATTTTCAGTATAGATGAAACAGCTTGGTATTGGAAGAGATGCCACCTAGGACTTTTATAACTAGGGTGGAGAGGTCAATGCCTGGCTTCAAAGGACAGGCTGACTCTCTTATTAGGGGCTAATGCAGCTGGTGACTTTAAGTTGAAGCCAGCATTCATTTACCATTCTGAAAATCCTGGGGCCCTTCAGAATGATGCTAAATTTCTCTGCCTGTTCTCTGAAAATGGAAAACAAAGTCTGGATGACAGCACATCTATTTACAGCATGGTTTACTGAATGTTTTAAGCCCACTGTTGAGACATACTGCTCAGAAAAAAAAGATCCCTTTCAAAATATTACTGCTCATTGACAATGCACCTGGTCACCCAAGAGCTCTGACGTACATGGAGATAAATGTTATTTTTGTGCCTGTTAACACAACATCCGTGGATGAAGGAATAATTTCGAAGCCTTATTATACATTTCATAAGGCTATAGCTGCCATAGATAGTGATTTCTTTGGTGGATTTGGGCAAACTAAATTGAAAACCTGGAAAGGATTTACCATTCTAGATGCCATTAAGAATATTCATGATTCATGGGAGAAGGTCAAAATATCAACTTTTTTTTTATTATACTTTAAGTTCTAGGGTACATGTGCACAACATGCAGGTTTGTTACATAGGTATACATGTGCCATGTTGGTTTGCTGCACCCATTAACTTGTCATTTACATTAGGTATTTCTCCTAATGCTATCCTTTCCCCAGCCCCCTACCCTACGACAGGCCCTGGTGTGTGATGTTCCCCCCGCTGTGTCCAAGTGTTCTCATTGTTCAATTCCCACCTATGAGTGAGAACATGCAGTGTTTGGTTTTCTGTCCTTGTGATAGTTTGCTCAGAATGATGGTTTCTAGCTTCTTCTGTATCCCTGCAAAGGAGATGAACTCATCCTTTTTTATGTCTGCATAGTATTCTATGGTGTATATGTGCCACATTTTCTTTATCTAGTCTATCATTGATGGACATTCAGATTGGTTCCAAGTCTTTGCTATTGTGAACAGTGCTGCAATAAACATACGTGTGCATGTGTCTTTATAGTAGCATGAAAATATCAACATTAACAGGAATTTGGAACAAGTTAATTCCCTCTATTATGGATGACTTTGAGTAGTTCAAAACCAGTGGATGAAGTAACTGTAGATGTGGTAGAAATAGCAGGAAAACTAGAATTAGAAGTGGCACTTCAAGATGTGACCGAATTGCTATAATCTCACGATAAAACTTGGGCAGATGAGGAGTCACTTCTTATAGATGAGAAAAGAAAGTGGTTTTTTTTTTTATTTGCTTTGGTTTTTTTTTTTGAGACAGAGTCTCACTCTGTCGCCCAGGCTGGAATGCAGTGGCACGATCTCAGCTCAGTGCAACCTCCACCTCCCAGGTTCAAGTGATTCTTCTGCTTCAGCCTCCCGAGCAGCTGGGACTACAGGCACGCGCCACCATGCCTGGCTGATTTTTGTGTTTTTAGTACCATATTGGCCAGGTTGGTCTCGAACTCCTGACCTTGTGATCCACCTGCCCCTGCCTCCCAAAGTACTAAGATTACAGACATGAGCCACTGCGCCTGGCCTCGAAAGTGGTTTTTTGAGATGGAATCTACTCCTGGTGAAGATGCTGTGAACATTGAAATGACACAAAGAATTTAGAATATTACATAAACGTAGTTGATAAAACATTGACAGGGTTTGAAAGAATTGACTCCAGGTTTTAAAGAAGTTCTATAGGTGAAATGCTATCGAACAGCATTGCATGCTACGGGTATCTTTTGTGAAAGGAAGAGTCAATCAGGATGATAAACTTTGTCTTATTTTAAGAAGTTGACATAGCCACCTAACCTTCAGCAACCAGCACCCTGATTAGGTGGTGGTTAGTCAGCAACATTCAGCATTGAGGAAAGATCATCCAGCAGCAAAAAGTTATGACTTACTGAAGGCTCAGATGATCGCTAGCATCTTTTAGCAATAAAATATTTTTTAAAGCAAGCTGTGTACATTGTTTCTTTAGACATAATGCTCTTGCACACTCAGTAGACTACAGTATAGTGTAGACAGAACTTTTTTTTTTTTTTTGAGGCGGAGTCTTGCACTGTCACGCAGGCTGGAGTGCAGTGGCACGATCTTGGCTCACTGCAACCTCCTCCTCCCATGTTCAAATGATTCTCCTGCCTCAGCCTCCTGAGTAGCTGGGATTACAGATGCCCACCACCACACCCAGCTAATTTTTTGTATTTTTAGTAGAGATGGTGTTTCCCCATGTTGGCCAGGTTGGTCTTAAACTCCTGACCTCAGGTGATCCACCTTCCTTGGCCTCCCAAACTGCTAGGATTACAAGCATGAGCCACCGTGCCCAGCCTGTAGACATAACATTTATATCTATTGGGAAACCAAAAAACAAAAAACAAACAAACAAAAAAAACTGGTGTGATTTGCTTTATAGTCACTTTATTGAAGTGATTTGGAACCAAACTCACAATATCTCTGAGGTATGCCTTTATGTACAGAAGGTGTTAATCTAGATTACTCCATGAGTCTTGTCTAGCAGTAAAAACTTTTGTTGTCATTTGCTTTAGTCAGCTTTATGCATTTACTATTTTTGAACAGACTTACTTTCAGGTAGCAAAGTTACTTCCTAAGTAAGAGAGTTCTTATTATCAACTGTTTTTTTTTTCCTGTATTTGCAATCTCTGAACATACTCCTGCTGTTTTAGTAGAGATGAAAAATTATTATTTTATTCTTTCATAGTAGTATCTTGAAGAGATTTTTACCTTTTTATCTAGTGTTATCAAATGTTCCACAGAAGTGATGTATTTCTTTTGCGAACTGAATTCATTATTATTATTTTTTTTTACCTTCTTTACTTTTTTTCATATTGTATACCTCTTTTAGTGATTGTGTTCATTGTCCATGAGGGCTTAGCACTGGTGCTCCTTATGAAGTAGTGAAGATTCAGTTTTTACCAAATAAAGACAGCATTTGGAGAATATAGGAGATTCTCAACTAAAGTGTCAACTAAAAAGACATTGACAATTCCTGATGGGTTGAGACTCCTGGATTGCCATAGGATGGTGGTGGCCTCCTAAATCTGTATCTTTCCATGCATTCTCTAAAAGTCCACACAGATCCACAAAGAGATAAAACCAACTAACAATATTCTTTGTCTCCAGCATAACTAGGAGACAGACTTCAAATTATTACAGAGATAAATAAATATCCAAATCTAGCCTACTCAGCTTCAGAGACCACTGCAGGGAGAGTTAAGACTCCAGAGACCACATGGACAAGAGGAGAGGGAAATGGGGAACCAGGAGCCCAAGGGTAATAGCACACAATGAAAATTACCTTTAGAAAGAAAAAAATTCCTACCCTAGTAGGAAAATAGTGCGATCTGGTCTTAGATTAGATTCTAACATTGGCTACTTAAAAGTGCATGGACTCCAGGTGACAGGTCAGGAAAGCACCACTTTGGGGATGGAGTTGTTCACCTTTATATACTTGGTGATGAAAAGAAAGAAGCAAGAGGGAGAAATGAAGTGTTCTGTAGAAATAAGGAAACCACAAAATCAGAAGACATACTAATTACCCCACTTTGGTCTCAGTTCAGAAGAGGGAGCATTTGAACTAAAAATCCTGGATATTTATCCCAAATTGTTGCCCTTACTGCATTCAATTTTTATTACTAGTCAAGGAAAATAAAAAATTATACACTGAATAGGAAATTTCAGATAAGATACATACATAGGTGCTACAAAAAAGAAAGCAGAAAATAAGAATAAAAACATTTTAGCTATTAAAAATTTTCCATCTAAGCCATCTGTGTTGCAGTTATCATTAACAGAACACCATGACCTATATTAAATATTCTTAAATAAGCCTTTGCAGATATGAAGAGAAGAAACCTTCAAGTTATAAATTCAGAAACTTAGAACCAAAGTGAACACCAGGAAGATGTGAAACTAGAGTTGACCAGAAGAAATTGAAGAAAATGACAAAATTGCTTTAAAAATTAAGACTAAATTTCAAGGTGCCCAAGGAAGAATAGAGGTGATTGAAAATTTAAAAAGGGGCATTGAGGAAAGAGATGCAAACAGGCAACTGAGAAGACAAAGGATCAGAGAAAAGATTATAATACAGAAGATAGTCAAAAAGATCCAACATACATGCAATTGGAATTCAGAAGAAGGAAAACAAAATGGTGAAACAGAGATAGTATTTAAAAGTACAAAGTTTCTAAAAGTAAAGGAAGACCAGAATCTGTTTTTTGAAAGGGCCCACCATATACTTGTGAAAATTGACCTGAAACAGTCAACTGAAAGACATAGTGTAGGAAAACTTTTAGACTTTAAAGATAAAAACAAATACAGAGGAAAAAATCCTCAAGGCCTCCATGCAAAAATATTATTTACAAAGGAAAGAAAGGCCAGGCATGGTGACCCACACCTGTAATCCCAGCACTTTGGGAGGCCAAGGTGGGCGGATCACTTGAGGTCAGGAGTTGGAGACCAGCCTGGCCAATATGGCAAAACCTCGTCTCTACTAAAAATACAAAAATTAGCCGAGTCTGGTCATGCATGCCTGTAATCCTAGCTACCTGGGAGGCTGAGGCATGAGAATTGCTTGAGCCCGGGAGACGGAGGTTGCAGTGAGCAGAGATTGCGTGACTGCACTCTAGCCTGGGCGGTAGAGCAAGACTCAGTCTCAAATAAAAAAAAAAAAAAAGAGGAAAGAAAGTCAGATTAGCATCAGACGTCCACATAGCAATACAGAATTCAATAGTGGTGCAGTATTTTCAGGTAACTGAAGGAATAAGAATTTTATATTGAACCAAGCTGCCCAGTAAAAATCAAAGCTGTAGAAGAATCCTGTTAAAGATAGAAGAATCAAGGGAATACTGTACTCTTTGCCTTCTAGAAGAATCTTCTTAAACTTGCACTGTTTAATACAGTAGTCACTCTTCAACATGGCTGTTGAGCATTTGAAATGAAGCTAGTCTAAATTGAGATGTGTTGTACATCTAAAAAACATACAAAATTTCAAAGACTTAGTACAAATTAAAAAATGTAAAATAGTCATTAATAGTTTTAGAAATATTGATTATATATTAAATCTTATTTTAAAAATTTTGTGAAATATTTACAAATGCTTTGTTTCTGCTGAAGCTTTATAGGCCAGCATTTCTTGGATTGTGGGTAGTAGCTGATCAAAGTGCTTATAAGACTTGGGCCAGTCAGTGTGATATGATGGAAAATGCAGGTTAGAAGAAAATAATAAGTAAATTAATAATAATATAATATAATATAATATAATATAATATAATATAATTGGGGTATTCAGTATAGGAAGAGAACTTTTTAAAAAAAATTATTTTAAGTTCTGGAATACATGTGCAGGGCATGCAGGTTTGTTACATAGGTGAATGTGTGCCATGGTAGTTTGCTGCACCTATCAACCCTTCACCTAGGTATTAAGCCCCACATGCATTAGCTGTTTATCCTGATGCTCTCCCTCCCCATAACCCCCTCTACAGACCCCATTGTGTGGTGTTCCCCTTCCTGTGTCCATGTGTTTTCTTTGTTCAGCTCCCACTTATAAGTAAGAACATGCAGTGTTTGGGCTGCTGTTCCTGTGATAGTTTGTTGAGGATAATGGCTTCCAGCTCCATCCATGTCCCTACAAAGGACATGATCTAATTCCTTTTTATGGCTGCATAGTATTCCATGGTGTATATCTACCACATTTCCAGTCTATCATTGATGGGCATTTGGGTTGGTTCCATGTCTTTGCTATTGTGAACAGTGCTGCAGTGAATGTACACGTGCATGTATCTTTATAATAGAATGACTTATATTCCTTTGGGTATATACCCAGTAATGGGATTGCTGGGTCAAATGGTATTTCTGGTTCCAGATCTTTGAGGAATCAGCACCCTGTCTTCCACAATGGTTGAACTAATTCACATTCCCACCAACAGTGTAAAAGTGTTCCTATTTCTCCACAGCCTTGCCAGCATCTGTTGTTCCTTGACTTTTTAGTAATCACCATTCTGACTGGCTTGAGATGGTATCTCATTGTGGTTTTGATTTGCATTTCTCTAATGATCAGTGATGTTGAGCTTTTTTTTCCTGTTTGTTGGCCGCATAAGTGTCTTCTTTTGAGAAGTATATGTTCATGTCCTTTGCCCACTTTTAAATGGGGTTGTTTTTTTCTTGTAAATTCGTTTGTAGTTCCTTGTAAATTCTGGATATTAGACCTTTGTCAGATGGATAGATTTTGAAAATGTTTTCCCATTCTGTAGGTGGTCAGTTCACTCCGATGGTAGTTTCTTTTGCTGCGCAAAAGCTCTTTAGTTTAATTAGATCCCATTTGTCAATTTTTGCTTTTGTTGCAATTGCTTTTGATGTTTTTGTTATGAAATCTTTCCCCTTGTCTATGTTCTGAATGATGTTGCGTAGATTTTCTTCTAGGGTTTCATAGTTTGGGGTTTTACATTTTTAAGTCTTTATTCCATCTTGAGTTAATTTTTGTATAGGGTGTAAGGAAGGGGTCCAGGTTCAATTTTTTGCATATAGCTAGCCAGTTTTCCCAGCACGATTTATTAAATAGGGAATCCTTGTCGAAGAGCAGATGGTTCTAGATGTGTGGTCTTATTTCTGAGATCTCTGTTCTGTCTTATTGGTCTGTGTGTCTGTTTTTGTACCAGTACCATGCTGTTTTGGTTACTGTAGCCTTGTAGTATAGTTTGAATTTGGGTAGCATGACGCCTCTAGCTTTGTTCTTTTTGCTTAGGATTGTCTTGGCTATACAGGCTCTTTTTTGATTCCATATGAATTTTAAAGTAGTTTTTTTCTAATTCTGTGAAGAATGTCAAATGGTAGTTTAATGGGAATAGCACTGAATTTATAAATTACTTTGGGCAGTATGGCCGTTTTCATGCTAATTGATTCTTCCTATCCATGAGCATGCAATGTTTTTCCATTTGTTTATGTCTTCTCTGATTTCCTTGAGCAGTCATTTGTAGTTTGGTAGAGAACATTTTTAAAGGAACCTTAGGTTCATTATTCTAGGGTTACATTCTAAGGAGAAGGCTGTATATAGGGTCTAAAATATGTCCTATGTGCTTAATCTAAAAGCAGAGATTAAAAGGAGAGAACAGTGTGTATCCAAATATATTCTTACCTAGGAGTTTATAGAAAAGGGAGCATGGAAAGGCTTGAATCTGGGAGAGTGAGAAAGACCATCTTAAAATCAATCTCTCACAAGCCATGAGATTAGTAACAGAAACAAGATGTATAACAGTGATACTGGGTGCTGTTTGCCTTCCGATATGCTCTGAAGCACTGTACTTTATAAAAGGCAAAAAAGGACTCTCATGTTGTGCAGTTGCCAGAAGGATATAAATCTCCATTGGTATTTGTAGTTGGTGATTGAAGCCTTGGCAGAAGATCTGGGTTTGCTAACATTAGCTAATGAATGTTACCATTTTTGCTTCTTAAGTTTGCTACATTTGAAAAACTTTTTATGTTCCTAACACAGAGAAAATGTGTAAGAGAGAAATGTGATTTGAAATGATGCTGTATGCCAAATACATACTGAAGAAGATTTGCCAGTCTCAGTATTTATAGTACCAGTACTGATTTACTATAACTAAGGACTACACTTTAAATTATACTTGGGGAAAAAGAGATGAATTTGTTCTGCTGTGTCTTTCTAACATTATTTTTCATCAGGGTTCCATGTCACTGCACCTATAGCCAGCTGTGGGAGTAGTCTGTGGACATATAATTGATTGAAGTTAACTGTCTTCTCTAATCGTATAAGCAGTAACCCAATGTGTCCATCCATTTGTGCTGTTATAACAGAATACCACACACCGGCTATATTACAAATAGTAGAGATTTATATTTCTCCCTGTTATGGAGGCTGAGAAGTCCAAGATCAAGGTGCTGGTAGGTTCAGAGTCCGGTGACATGCCATACCTCATTGATGGTACCTTTTTGATGGCACCTTGTTACTGCATTCTCACATGACAGAAGGTGGAAGGGAAGGAGAGCGAGAGAGCGAGGCAGCTCTCTGAAGCCTCTTTTATAATGGCATTAATCCATTATAAAGTCCTCACCTCATACTACTGTCATATTGGGGATTAAGTTTTAATACATGACTTTTGGGTGGGACACAACATTTAAACCACAGCACCCACTATGTCCTGAATGTGTTCAAGAATATAAGACATGTAAATTGGCATTTTAATTGATACAATGAATTGGAAATGAATTAATATTAGTATCTGAATAAGAATTATGTATTCTCAACAGAAAGCTAGTTTGATACAAAGAAAATAGCTTTAAGTAATAAATAGATTAGATAAATGTGTTTTCATTATCTTTACTGTGATTGTAGATGTTTGAATTTGAAATTAAAGGCAAGGGTAGTATCATGCTACTTTTTACTTCAGTAGTGCTTGAAAGTCCAAGTGGGTTCTATTCGCTCTAGAAAGCTTTCTTACATCGTCTAAATGCTTTCATTTTTACCTCTTTTCAGATTTTCTGAATACCCACTTGGCATTGTAAAACAGAGAAGATTAAGGTTTCATCATTAGGTTTCATCATTAGGTATACATTGGAATCTATAATGAGACATTTTTTGGAAATAATAAAATTTAGTGAATCATTTTTTTCTAATGGAAGCTTCTTTGTAAAATATATGTCTTCTTATTATAATTAATTTATTTGTACTGTATTTAAAAATTTATTTTAACATATGGTACATGTGAGGACTTAATTGTATTTTTTTTTTAGATAATCAATTTTCCTAATACAATGTGTTGTTTAATCTGTTCCTTATACATATTTCTATCATGGAATAACCATTTAGTTTAATATAATTGCATCAGTGTCTGAGTTTTTTTCTGTCCCATTAATCTGTTTGTCTAATATTGTGCTGTTACCTTACCATGCTATTTTAATTATGGTAGCTTTATGGAGGAAGTTTCCTATTATAAATTTATTTTTGAAAAATTGTTATTGTTTTCATGGGTTTGTTATATCAGAAATTTTGTAAATACTTTGTCATGTTTCTGAAAAATCCTATTGGAATTGTAATAAGTCATAAATTAATTTGGGGAGAATTGAAAACTTCTCAATATTTTGTCTGCCAATCTAAGGGCATAGATTGTATCTTCTCTTATTCTAATCTTCTTTTTATGTCTCAGTAAGATTAGGTAGTTTGGTTCATATGCTTTCCATACATTACTTTTTAAAAATATTCCTTTGTATTTTGCATTTTTGTTGTTGCGTATGGATTTTTTCTGTATAACTTCTAAGTGATTATTGTTAGAGATTATTGTGAAAGATGTCTTGATTTTTATATTTTTGTATGTATTCAGCCACCTTCTGTTCTTCATTAAAATGAATTTTTAGCTAATTCTCTTAGGTTTTGCAATCAGAACATCTACAAAGTGATACTTTTGTTTCCTCTTGCCCTTATAACTAAAGCCGACTTACTGTATTGGGTTAAGCTTCCAGTGAAATAGTAAATAACAGTGATATGGTTAGCACCATATTTTAGTTTCCGATACTGATGGTATGGCCCTTCTGATGTTTCACCATTAAATATAACATCTCTTGATTTTTATGTAAAAGTTCTTTTTCAGTTTAAGAAAATAATAAGGCCGGGCACAGTGGCTCATACCTGTAATCCCTGCATTTTGGGAGGCTCACGCAGGAGGATTGCTTGAAGTGAGGAGTTTGAGACTAGCCTGGGCAGTAAATAAAGACAGCATCTCTATCAAAGAATATATATATGTGTGTATATATGTGTGTGTGTGTGTGTATGTATGTGTATGGGTGTGTGTATATGTGTGCGTGTATATAGGTATATACATATATGTGCATATATGTGTATATACATGTATATATACACACACACCCACACACATATATATACACACACACACTATATATATATATATATATATATATATATATATATGCGCCAGGCATGGTGGTGTGTCTCTCTATTCCCAGCTATGTGGAAGGCTGATGCTCAAGCATAGAAGTTTGAGGCTGCAGTGAGCCATGATTGTGCCACTGCACTCTAGCCTACGTGACAGAACAAGACCCTGTCTCAGAAAGAAAGGAAAATAAAGAACAATTTCTTTAAAAACAAAAAGATTTTAAACCACAAATTTTTTGCCGAATTAATGTGTTGAAAGTAGTCTCTACCATTTTATTGCTATAAAGCTTGTTTATAATAAAATTATTTGTTGAGAGCATTAATAATAAGGGAACCTTTTCATAAGAAGGAAAATACAACAAAGTTTTATAATCTTTGAATCAAGGTCATGCAGTATACTAGTGAAGTTCAGTATAATTTACATCCTCCTTTGTGTATTCAGGGACAAATATTTATCTAATGAGAATTAGTATGTAAAGAATGATTGGAATTAATGACATGAATGTGTATATCTTAGAAAAAATGACTATTAAAACATCTGACAAACATAGGAGATTTCTTAATCTAGTAATGTATAGTTTCAAAAGTTTTCAAAGCTACATTCAATAAAGCATTGCTTTTACCACCAGAAAATTGTTTACACTTACAAGGTCGTATTATATCAGCCTTTAAAGTATATCTGTGTGCCTTTAAATTAATAAGTATTCATTTATTTGTTTATATTATTCAGCCCTGAAAATGTGAACTTAATTGCTTATGATTTCAGTTACTTTAAAAAATGTAGTTTTACACAGATTCACATATTGAGTGCGTGATGCCAAATGAATTTTGGTGTTTCAAGATTTAATAATATATGAATAGAAATTTTTAATAAATTAGAACAAAATTTTTAAAATACTTGGCCTTAAAGACTGTTTTTGTGGCCCTAGAGGAAAAGAGAAACACATTTAACCGGAAAAAGAGGTAATTGAAGTAAATTCTTCTCCTTTGGGAAGAATTTTGTATGAATCTTAATTCACACAAATCTGTAATTTATCCATTATGTTAAATTGGAAGAGATATTACACCATGGGAATTTGTTTTATACCAAATTTATAAATCTGTTATTTCATTTTTTATTTTTACTCATTTATGTACTGTAATTTTCACTTTTTGAATTATGAATATATGTGAATATGCATGACCAAATGTAAAATTGTTGAAATAGGAAGAATAATGGAAATATTAAATACAAAATAGAGAGTAAAAGATTAGCTCTTGGCTCTAAGTAGTCAAGGTAAGGGAAGGATAGCCAAGAAATGGAAATGATCCCAAATTTAAAAAGAATTTGTAGAAGCACATTAAAAATATATAGATTCTAGTTGAAGAAATATAGTTGTCAGAAATATATCTTCTTAATTGAATATAAAATACTACGTTGTTTTCTATTTGCTATACAAGAGTATCTTGAAAATGCCATATTCTTAATTTTGTGTGGTTCATGGTCATTTTATTCTCTCTTAAATCTCTAATAATTGAAGAAATGTGAATATTTCATGTTTTTAGTAAGGTAGGGTTCAGGTATAATTTTCTAGGGTAATATATGTATATACATATATATATAATGGGTTATATAATTAAGAGTCTTTATTTGAGTTAACTTTTTAAAAAAGAAGTTCACTTACTAAATGTAGGTCGACTCATTAGAATAGTTGGTGAGTATTCAAACAGAATTGAGCTCATACTGTTGTGCTATGTCATACTGCTGTTAAATACTTAGTTTAACGTATAACATAAATGTTAAATACTTCATTTAATCATAGATTGGGAGCATTTTATACAGTTATATCATGCTTTGATGAGGTAAGATTTAGACTATACACCCCTCCATCTTCAGGTCTCATTCATTCATTTATTCCACACTTAGTATTTATTTAGTATGTGCCAAACATTGTGCTATCTCACAATAATGACAGAAGCTTATTTCTTTTGTGGAGTAGAGACTGATAGATAAATGTTAAATTATAATTTATCATAATAAGTGCTATCATAGGGGAATGTTCAGTGTCTACACTAGATCTTAGCCAGAGGGCTGAGAAGCAATGAGGTATGTTCAGTACCTAGTGGGACTACATATTTACTGACCTTAAAGTAAAAATTGCAATGTCAAATCAAAAGGGAATAATCATAAAATAATGAAGGACAAAAGGAAATGATCTGATTCCAGTACTTAATTCAGCTTATTAAAAGTTCAAATCTTTGATTTTTGATTGAATTCGTTCTTTAAAAAATTGTTTTAGAAGACACCAGAAGTACTGCATGTAAAGCAGAATGAACTAATTTATATTGTATTATACTCTGAATTACTCTGATAATATGCATGCTGATGTTCTTGGATCATGTACCAGTCTTTGAATAACAAGTTCTAGATGTATGCCATCCAGTCTAGTAGCCACCAAGCCACATATGGTTATTGAGCACTTGAACGGCAAAGTTGAAATTGAGATAAACTATAATCTCAAAGACTTATTGCTAAAAAAAAAAGATTTAATTTTTATATTGATCAAAACTTAATTTTATCTGTTTCTTTTTACCTTTTTAAATATTGCTGCTAGAAAATATAAAGTTATATGTGTGGCTCACTTTATATTTCCCTTGGACAGCCATGGCTCACACAAATGCTTCTCAAATTTTAGGCTGCATAAAATTATTTGGAAAGATTGTTAAATCGTAAATACTTAGGCCCTATCCCCAGAGACTCTGATTCAGTAGTTTTGGGGTGGGGCTCAGGAATTTGCATTTCTAATAATTTTCTAGAGGATGCCAATATGCTAATTTATGGATGGCACTTTAAACCATAAGGTTTTAATGTAGACAGTATCTTTTCAGTGGGTTGAAAAGAATGCTGCCTGGGATGAATCAAAAGCAATACCAGTTTTCACACAATTTGTTATCGGGTCTAATCTGTAAATAAGATACTGTCATACTGTCTAGAGGAATATAAATGTAAGCATTTTGCTAGGCCTCTGAAGAAAAAATGTGGAATTTTGTCAAAGACTCTTAAGTATTTTTTAAAATAAGTATGTGTTTGTTGTTTTTACTTCTTGTAAAGAGAAAAGAAAATAACTCTGTAAAATGGGAAAGTAAGACCTAGTTTGTCATTTCCAAGACAACAGAATTTACTTACATTCTAAACAAAGGAGGGGGAGAACACCGTAGGAAAAATCTTACATACCTATGAAGGTCCCATCGTGTGTGACATTGGAGAGAGATCTTTTACTTAAAGTATTTGCTTTTTCTTATTTTCTTGTCACAGATACATATGATAAGAAATATATATGTATATTTATGTGTGTGTGCACATGTATGTGTGTGTTTTGAGACAGGGTTTTGCTTTGTCACCCAGGCTGGAGTGCAGTAGTGGGATCCATGCTCACGGCAGCGTTGAACCCCCGCACTCAAGCAGTCCTCCCACCTCAGCTTCCTGAATAGCTAGGATTGCAGGCATACTTCACCATGTCCAACTAATTTATTTTTACTTTTTGTATACATGGGGTCTCACTATGTTGTCCAGGCTGGTCTCAAACTTCTGGCCTCAAGCAGTCCTTCTGCTTCAGCCTCCCAAACCGTAGGGTTAGCAGGCATGAGCCACTGCAGTTAGCTTCATTTTTATGTTCTTAAAAACAATTAGGCAGGGGACAATGAAATTGGAATGAGGAGTAAGATAAGGCAGCAAGAAATCAGAGTGACAGGAGGAAGAAGATAGAGGATGGTAAATAATGGAAAGCAGTGAGGAGATAGATGATTTTACTAAAGTTGGGGAACAAGGCTTATGGTTTCTTCTACTATGATACTTGTAGACCTGTTTAGCTCACTATTCTCAGGGCCAGGGGAAGCATTTTAATAATAGTATCATCTAATTTTGCAATTCATGAACACCTTAGTAACCCAGTCTCCAGCTAATAATTCTGTTTCATCCTTACCAAATAGCCCTTATGAAGAGGGAATCTTTCATCATTCTTTATGAGGGGATCTGTTTCATTTTTTCATAGCCCTAAGACTGGAAGACACTTTTTAATGTTGATCCCTAATCATCTTTCTGTCAGCTGCTGCTCATTGGTCCTATTTCTAGCTCCTAGATAAACATACAATGTGCTTTCTCCCTAACAAATCCTCTGTATTTGGTGATAACTGTCATATTCCTTATTTCCTGAGCTGGCCCTCATATGATGACAAGGAGACAGTAGATTGTAGGGCAGAGGTTGATACTATTTTTTTCTAATATTTGTGTGGTACGTTTGTGTTCTTACTTGGAAATCTTTGTTGGGAGGGCTAAGATGATCCTCTTTTCTAGGAGCAGTGGTATATTAGGGTTCTTCAGAGATATAGAACCAATGGAATGTGTGTGTGCATGTGTGTATGTGTATGTTTGTGTAGCTATACATAGATGTATAGATATATATATATAGAGAGAGAAATAGGTATGGGCGGGGGGAGAGAGATTTATTTAAGGGCTGGTCACGGTGGCTCACGCCTGTAATCCCAGCACTTTGGGAGGCTGAGGCGGGTGGATCGCAAGGTCAGGAGATCGAGACCATCCTGGCTAACATGGGGAAACCCCGTCTCTAGTAAAAGTACAAAAAATTAGTCGGGCGAGGTGGCAGGCGCCTGTAGTCCCAGCTGCTCTGGAGACTGAGGCAGGAGAATGGCATGAACTTGGGAGGTGGAACTTGCAGTGAGCCGAGATCACACCACTGCACTCCAGCCTGGGTGACAGAGCAAGACTCTGTCTCAAAAAAAAAAAAAAAAAAAAAAAAAAAAAGAAATTGGCTCATGCAATTATGGGGGTTGCAAGTCCAAATCTGCAATGTGGGTTGTCAGGTTGGAGACCTAGGGAAGGGCTGATGCTGCAGTTCAACTCTGAAGACTGTCTGTTAGCAGAATTTCTTCTTATTTGGGTAAGGTGTGTTGTTTATTCTGTTCAGTTCTTCAACTGATAGGGCACAATGTCCCACATAAAGAGCAAATCTGCTTTACTGAAAACCTACTGATTTAAATGTTCATCTTATCCAAAAACACCTTCACAGACAGAGACATCCAAAATAATGTTTGGCCAAATGCCTGGGCACTGTAGCCCAGCTAATTGATAGAAAATTAACCATCAGAAGTGGAATATACATTTCTAGGTATCAAGATGGATTGTATTGTACAATAGTTATATGTTGGGATAACTGCTAGTGAGGAATACCTTAGCATTAGAACTTTACACACAAGAAGCTACAGTTGGGCCTGGTGTGGTAGCTCACAGCTGTAATCCCAGCACTTTGGGAGGCTGAGGCCAGGAGGATCATTTGAGCCCAGGAGTTCAAGATCAGCCTGGGCAACATAGTGAGACCTCATCGCCACAAAAAAATTTAAAACATTGGCCAGGCATGGTGGCAGGTGCCTGTGGTCCCATCTACTTGGGAGGCCGAGGTGAGAGGATCACTTCGGCCCAGGAGGTCGAGGGTGTAGTAAGCCATGATCATGCCACTGCACTCCATCCTGAGCAACAGAGCAAGACCGTGTCTCAAGAAAAAGTAAGAATCACGATCATGTCCTACTTTTTAATATTCATTGAAATAAACCTCACAAGGAGGCTCCAAAAGGCAGAGAAATTGGGTCGTTGTTTTGTTTCTTAAAGAGACATAAGGATTCATAGTCTAGATTTTAGCACACAATGTTCTGTGAGGTGAGTCCATTTTAGATGCTTGTAATTTTCTTTTCCATGGTTAAGTGTTATACACCTTTTCATTGTACTAAAGGAGCAAGCAGAATGTTTTTATTTGGCTCGTAATAACTTAGTTATGGATTGATCATATTTTCATTCTGATGTGTGCATGTGGGAGGGATAATATAAAGGCAAGGTAATTTTCTGCAGTGATTTCTGAAAGCTTAAAGAACATTTTTGCATACATTTGCTTATGAAAAAACTATAATCCAAGACCTGATTAGCTTAATGCAAAGTGAAAAGTTTAGTCTCTGCATGAGCTAGTGACTGGTAATTATATGAAAAACTTCGTTCTTAACTTCAAAAGAAATCAAGTTTCCTTGGTGAGAGAATCTTATCAAGATTCTTAATGAGAGAATCTTAAAATATAAGACAATCTCTTTGTAAACTCAATCCTCTTTTCTCTTAGGAGTAATTATAACTACTGCAACATCAATACATGTAACTTGCTTCATCTTTAGTATTCCCATAGCAGTTTATACATCCCTCCAGTTGAACTTATGTCAGTGTGTATTCATTGTTTGTATAAGCCTCTTTCATTTATTCTGTTATAACTCTGTAAGAGGAGGGATGCAGTTCTATTCAACTAGCATTAATTGTGTACCACTATGCATTAGTTGGTAATCTTGCCCTGGAGAGTTTAGTGGTCTACATAGATAAGTAATATATAAGTTTTAATACAGTATAATATATTATATAATGGAGCTGATTACGAAGTGTTGTAGAAACAGAGATATGGATTCAACTCACATTTTTAAGTCTTTCAAAGTGTCACAGAGGGGATGACATTTTATCCGGGTCCTGATGGGTAAATAGACATTTTATAGGTATACCGTTGTTTTTTCCTTCTATCTAGCTTTTCTTCAAATCTTGGATAATACCAGTCATCTACTTTTTACAGCTTCTCAATACTGGTAGCCTTCAGCTGTTGGTCAGAAAATTACTCAGTGGTAGAGAATGTTGCTTTTAGAAATGTAGTGTCTGTAGTTTCAGCTGGTAGTGCTTTTACATATTCCTTCCTTGTAGAATGTATTTTTCTTTTTGGCTTAGAATATGCTTTATTGTCCTTAATAACTCCACTCAAATGTTACCTTATTTGCAAACTTCATGATATTTATACATCTTTGATTGTTTCTCATTATAGCTTGTACATAACCTCCATAGTGGTATCAATCACATTGAATTGTGGTAATTTATTAACCTCTCTCTGTCTCTTACTGGACAGTTAGCTCTCTGAGGATATGATTTGTGTCCTCTTTATTTTATATTCCCAAG